>NC_000003.12:50919090-51222121 GCF_000001405.40 Homo sapiens | reverse complement strand
GGATGATTGTATTCGAACCACCTGGGGAACTTGTTGAAAACAGATTTCTAGCACTCACACCTTGAAATTCCAGTGGGTCTTGTGTACATATATTTTTTAAAAAATCACCAAGTGATTCTGATGTTCTTCATTATTTAACACTAGGAAACCAGAATATGGAGGTCTGCTGGGAGGACGTTGATGGAGTTTGGGTAGGAGTAGGGGACTGGGCAGCTCTTAGGCAGCATGCAGATGTGCTGAGAGGGTGAGTCTTTTCTACAAGAAGTAGGAGTAGGTATTTCTGAGGGTAGCCCTGATGACGGGTCTCTCCTTTAGGAAGGACCTTGGGCAGCCCTGACTCCCTTTGTTAAGTGCCCTCTGCTTCCTAAGGTTGGCAGGGCATCTTACAGCATCAGTAATGCCTTACATTGAGTGCTTAGTGCCTGGGTGACATCCAACAGAATTTCTTGAATGAAGTGGAACGATTTGAGTTTTTTTTTATAAGAGGGTCTCGGAATAAAGTATCTGTCCCTTTTACAGTCTCACAGGATCTGTTGGTACAGCTGCACTCAGAAAACTGGGCACTTAGGTTTATTGGAGTTGACAAACCTTTTCTGTAAAAGACTAAATAGTAAATATTTTAGGTTTTGTCAGCCACATATGTCTCTGGCAGTTGTTCTTTGTTTTTACAACACTTTTAAAATGTAAAAGAAAAACATTCTTCACTGGCAAGAAGTACAAAAATAGGCTGTTGGCTGGATTTGGCCCATAGGCTATAGTTTACTGATACCTGGCTGGGAACGTTTATGTGTGAAGAACAGCCACACTACACTGCAACTGCACATCAAAAATACAGATTCCTGTGCACCTAGACAAACAGCTACTGGGAGAAAGCAAGGTAATGAACCTGGGGCTATGTTATTATGACAGGGATTGGCCTGGAATACTCAGAGGTGCTTATGGAGTGAGCGATCTTAAAAGTAAACAGTGCTGTTCAGCCACCAGAAATCTTAACGGGATAGATAGGGAGCACTGTCACAGACCAGTGACAGGTCTGACCCTCTGAAGACCTGTATCCTAGTGACTCTGGAGAAACAGTTCATGATGTGTTTGCAGATTTCTTCTGAGAGTAGTCTCAGAGGTCTCCCAACCTCTGAAGTCCAGCTCAGGCACCAGAACATTTGTTAGCAAGAGAATCTCTTGCCAGATACTCCAGTACTACTTGGAATTTGGGGCCAAATGTTTCATTAGTGCTAGCCCATGTGGAATTCCATCCCAGCAGAAATAATGTGCGAAGGCCCAAACAAGTTTGGCCAGTCAAAATCTGATATGAGTTCTTTATTATATTCACATTCCTTCTGTATAAATTACTCACACTTCATATTAGGAGGCTCTGGGTTCAAGTATTTTATATATATATATATATATATATACACACACACACACACACACACATATATATATATATATATTTTTTTTTTTTTTTGAGATGGAGTCTTGCTCTGTTGCCAAGGCTGGAGTACAGCGGCACAATCTCGGCTCACTGCAACCTCCACCTACCGGGTTCAAGCGATTCTCCAGCCTCAGCCTCCTGAGTAGCTGGGATTAAAGGCTCCTGCCACCATGCCGAGCTAATTTTTGTATTTTTAGTAGAGATGGGGTTTCACCATGTTGGCCAGGCTGGTCTGGAACTCCTGACCTCAGGTGATCTGCCTGCCTTGGCCTCCCAAAGTGCTGGGATTACACACGTGAGCCACCGCACCCTGCCCAATAATATTTAATACTATATTATTTATACCTTGTCTACTTCTAGATAGGATTAGGAGGGGTTTCTACAGATGTGCTTTCTCTTCCTTAAGATCATGTAAGATGAGAACTGACTTTCTTTCAGTACAATTGGGATGATGCCAAGCCTATGTGTTGGAAGAATAGAAGGATGTCTCCTAACAGCATACATGGAAATGTAGAGATGTTAGCTACCATTCAACTTGGATGGTTTTAGGTATGCAACCAATGGAGTAGTTCTTATTTACTTGAGGAAGAGACCAAAAGAAAAAAAAAGGCTCTTGAGAGGACTTCTTTAGAGTACCCAGGAAAGAAGGATTCTTTCTTCTTCTTACCATGTCTTTGGTGTCACACTTCTGGTTTCCATTGCAACAAAGTCAGTGATGCTCTTTGCTCTAACAGGATGAGAGGTATGGGCATAGTGTGACATCACTATAGATAGTTTGTCCTTTCTTGAGTCAGGGATGTGATGATCTTCCAACCTCTTTTGAGACTAGATGTGATTATTCTTAAACCATCCCTTAGATACACTGCCATAGCCTCATTTGACACTCAGATTGACCAGCGCTATGAACCCACTTGTGGTAAATAATGTCATTGCTCCCCTTGAGGAAAGCTTTCTTCCAAAAACCATATCTCTGTTGGTTTGCCTTTTCATGTGAAGTATGTCCCACAAAGCCAAAAAGAGAAGCTTTCCACCTTTCTGATTCTTTTGGCTTGGAGTAAGCACGATTCCTTTTCTTTTCAATGAATGCAACTGATCAGTCTCATACAAAAATAGTTTCCTGTATCTATACACCTTAAGCTTGTTAAGATTTTCTAGACATTCCAATATGTCTCCAGTTTCTTCAGATCTTAGTGAATACTCAAAAGTAATACACAGTGTTATAGGATGGGCTGGTAGCTTTTCTTTTTATGTCTTGTCAGTTACCCAAGAAGGTGAGGCTGATGAGGATTATTAATATGTACATGATACCCCACCCCAGTATTGCAACATTCCATGAAACAAATGAAGATGAGAACAAAGCAGGCAATAAGCAGACAGAGCACACAAAAGACAGAACTTACACCCAACTATCTTCATCTCTGCGTCAGAAAGAAAGGGGCGAAAATGAAGGGACAGCACAGAGAAAAACAAGAACAATTAAGACAAACACGAAAAGAAAGAAACATCACTTGAAGGTCAGTGATGAAACATGCACATTTTTGTCAGGAGTCAAAGAAAAGGACAGAGTGTGTTTCTGAGCACAAGGGGAAGAGTCAGAGGGTCCTCTAAAAGGATGCTATGCCTATATAGCTGCCTTCTAATAGATATGTCCAAAGGGGAGCAGTAATTGAGTAAAGGGAATCAAGAAGGAGAAAAACATCCATAAGCAGAGTACTCTCTATGACATGGTTCTCAAAGGAGGTTCCAGACCAGCAGCATCACCATCACTTGAGAGCTTGTGAGAGATGCAAATTGCCAGGTCCCACCACAGTCCTACTAAGTTAGAAACTCTTGGGGTGGGCCCAGAAATCTGTGTTTTATGGGCCTTGCAGGTGATTCTGAGGCACACTGAGGTTCGGCAACCACTGCTTTAGGAAAAAAACTTAGTCATCTATTAGAACAACATAATAAATCATAGATGGACTTCTTATGACAAGACAGAAAACCATTTAATATGTAATTTGGCTCATATCACCTACAATCAATGATAACCTTAGAAATTCAAGTCTTAGAAAATAGGTTAAAACATTGTACTTCCCAAAAAACCACGACAAAGCCCTTTATTTCCACTGACTACAGGGTACAGACTTTCCAGGAAAGCAAAGAAAGAGAGCCATGGCAAGTGGTAGCACATCTCTGCTGGCTTAGACATGGTCTGAAGAAGGGTACGGTCCCTTCTTGAGCAAGAGGTTTTTTGTTTTGGTTTGGTTTTGGTTTTGAGACAGATTCTGCTCTGTCACACAGGCTGGAGTGCAGTGGTATGATCTTGGCTCACTGCAACTTTTACCTCCCGAGTTTAAGCAATTCTCATGCCTCAGCCTCCTGAATATCTGAGACTACAGGTGAACGCCACCATGCCCGGCTAATTTTTGCATTTTTTTTAGAGATGGGGTCTCACCATATTGGCCAGGCTGGTCTTGAACGTCTGGCCTCAGGTGATCCACCTGCCTCGGCCTCCCAAAGTGCTAGGATTATAGGCGTGAGCCACTGTGCCTGACCGAGCAAGAGGTTTTATTTTATTTTAATTTTTTATTTGAGATGGGGTCTCGCTGTCATCCAGGCTGGAGTGCAGTGGCGCCATCTTGGCTCACTGCAACCTCCGCCTCCCAGGTTCAAGCGATTCTCCTGCCTCAGACTCCTGAGTAGCTGGGATTACAGGCGCCCACCACGACCCCCGGCTAATTTTCGTATTTTTAGTAGAGATGGGGTTTCACCATGTTGGCCAGGTTGGTCTTGAATTCCTGACCTCAAGTGATCTGCCTGCCTTGGCCTCCCAAAGTGCTGGGATTACAGGTGTGAGCCACTGTGCCTGGCCTGACCTAGAGGTTTTAAATCATTCCTTTCAGGTTATACTCTTTTGGCTAACGGTTTTCTTTAAAGTTTTATTATAGCTAATTCTGACACAGGAGTTACAGAAAACAATGTTAACATCCATTTGTTTACCTGGAACACCTGGCCTGTTTGTCGTGCCTGCCCATCTTCTTAAAAAAAATCAAGAAAAGGACTAAAAGTGTGCCATAGAGTTATTATTAGCTTTTGTACTTTAATAAAATGAGTTTGGAAGGAAAGAGAAAGTATCCACTGAAATATGGTGATCAACTAACAAAAGGTTACATGTTCAGTTTTTTAAAAAATGGCTAAATTTCTCATATCTATTTGTTCTTCTATAATCTAAGATGGTACTTCCTGGTTTGGCTCCCAGAACACCAGCAGTATCACTGTTGCCTCTTGCTCATTATCATGGGTCATGAGCAGAACTGAATGGCTGTGTAGTCATGGCCTCAGTTATGGCAGAGCAGAATATCTCATGCTCACATCATCCCTGTGATATGTATGTACACTCTCATGGAAAGCAATGGTAGAATGTCAAAAAGATCTTTTTAGAAATCATATGTTAGCTACTGGTGTGGCTAGAGCCTGTCTGAACTCTCCCTTACAGCTCTGCCAGTATGCTTTGACAAGGACCTATCTGGGCCATCCTGACCAAAAAAAAAAACCTTTCCAAATGAGTGTTTGATAGTTTCTGCCAAATGCTGGATAGTTTTAAAATAAGGATCACAGTTTATGAATACTTCTAATTTTTCCATTTAATTTCTCAGACTTATCATGCTATCATGGTCACAGTTACTGACATGATTTCCTTCCTTCTTATATCTCCACGTGTTCATGGGTCAAGAAGATGAAGTTGCAATTTCTTGTAACTTGGTCACACCAGCACTGTGAGAGCTGAGGGACTGCTACAATTCAAGTAAAACACTCTCACAGATGATGGGTGGACTAGCTGCAGGTAGAGATGTGCCCAGGGTTTGAAAAAGACTCCTAAGGACTTCTTAACACAGTCACTGTTTCCCAAGACAGGCTGACCACAATGTAAAACACTCCTGCACACTTTTCCTGTTGATCCAATAGGACCTGCAGGTACAGTCCTATCACTTTGCCCAGGGACTGCAAACCTACTCTTGACAGTATATTGGGGCATATTAAGGGGGAAATGCAAGTTGCTAACAGCCCACAACCCTGGGAGTGGCCACCTGTGCAAAAGCTCTTTTCTCAGGAAGAGAATGGGTGGAAGAGGGGGCAGATTATGCAAAAGGACTGCTCTGCCTATGAACCAGTCCTTACTTTCGGCTACAGCACTCAGTACTTCAAAGGCAGGCTCACAGCCCCACCCTGGGCCTGCCAGGACTGCCCAGTATCTCTGCCTTGTGGGGAAAATCATATGATGATCCCTTAGCTGCCCGGAGGAGGGAAAACCCCCTTAACCTCAGCTTGCCTCACCAATGCTTGAAATTACATATTTCCAGAGTCATGTCTAGCTGTGTGCCAATGATATGAAGAGATGCAGAGTATCCTAAAAAAGATTTCTTTCCACAGATGAGGTTTTGACAATGTAACTTAAAATCAAATTTTGCTTAAATACATTTTTGACTGAAGCTTGTTCCTTTCTAGTCTCTGATCACTTGGTTTTAATCCCAGAAGTATGTGAAGACTATCACGAAGGTAGTATCCAAATCTCAGAAAAGTTCTCAAGAGAAAGGAAGGACTTTAAGTATATCCCTTGGAATATACTCCACCACATAAGCCTAGATACCTAATTTTTAAAAGATCACCAGGTCAATTTTGGTAACTATTTATTCTTTTTTCAATTTTGGTAACTTTTTTTTTTTTTCATAGTCAAGAAGCCTGACTATGCTTGGGCTCTTTTCCTAATTACCAGCCCAGAAAGAGCTAAGAAAGGTGTCATGACAGGATGGTAGAAGTGTCCTGTGGCAGTCATTACCCCTACAACAGCTTTCATAAGCATGAAGTCTCCCTAGCATTTAGAGAAAAACATAACTGATCTACTAGCCTACATTTCCCATCCAAAAGACTCTCCTGTGTGTATGAGTAGAAGACGAAGGCTGTGTGTAGCAGCTTGCTCTGCATTTACAGTGTCTATGGAGAGAGAATGAAGGTGACAGAAAATAAATCTGGGCATAGCCTGGAAAGTTGGAAGGCAGCTGGAACCCACCACATAGGCCTTCTCTATGCCCAAGCTACCCAACTCTTTGTGTATGTGCTGGCAAATGCTTCCAACAAGAGAATTCAGTGAACCACCATGAAGAACTCCAAATAAGTGATATTTAAAGTGATCACAATCAGTTCAGTCTAGCCTGGTCTGGCCTGGCCCTTTACAACAAAAGCAAATAAGCTTTTAGCAAAGCATTAAAACTCAACTGAGGCCAGGCGCAGTGGCTCAAGCCTGTAATCCCAGCACTTTGGGAGGCTGAGGTCAGGAGTTCAAGACCAGTATGCCAGTACTGGATCACTTGAGGTCAGGAGTTCGAGACCAGTCTGGCCAACATGGTGAAACCGTCTCTACAAAAATTACAAAAATTAGCCAGGTGTGGTGATGTACACGTGTAGTCGCAGCTACTCGGGAGGCTGAGGCAAGAGAATTGCTTGCACCTAGTGGGTGGAGTTTGCAGTGAGCCAAGATGGCACCACTGCACTCCAGCGTGGGCAACAGAGTAAGACTGTCTCAAAACAACAAAAAAACTCAACTGAGAGGGTAGGTCCACTCCTCCTAGAATCTATCCAGATAACCAGACATTTACCCATTCTAATCTCCTTTTCCTTATTTGCATCTTCTCTGCTTATCAGGACACCTAACATCCATCTGAACCATGCCTCTACCCTTTCTTCACTCCTGATAGCCCCCTTGGCTCTGATATCCCATTTGGATCCACTTTTCCAGCCCTACCCATGTCTGCCTAATTAGAAAACAAGAACCTGATACTGACCTACTGGGACCACAGTTGAGGGTCAATGCATTCCCAATTTCTGCCCTGGCTCTCCACGGGGCATTAGATGAAATGGGTGATACAATTCCTGAGAAGCTGGCCAGGTAGTGGTATATTCACAATGTCTAATTTATACTATTTGCCTGATCTATTTTTCTGATACATGAAAATGGAAATGTATCTGCTATTCCTACACATATGGGATTCACTGATACTACAGGCATATATTTTGATATATTCTTCCCCTTAAGCAGTAAGTTCTTGTGAGACAATTATATTCTAAGAAATGTGATAGGATAGTAGAGTATAAAAACTCTCCATGAAGGTTCCATATTCACTTCTACCATCACTTCTACTTCATGGAAGACAACAAAGCCTATCTGCTGGATTGTCATGTTGCACTGGTGAATGTAATGTAGGGGCTTCTGGAAAAGAACAAATGCCTATAAGAGCCAAAGGGCCATTGACTGCAGACTGCAGTAAGCAGCCTGACTTGGGATGTGGGAGATTTTAATAGCTGCAGGTCTTCTCCATAGCACAGTTCACCACCTGCTCAGGAGGGGAGCACCAGATTCCATCCTAACCCATCTTCCTTCCCAGCCCCAAGCAGTTCTGCATACCTGGCATAATGACATCAGGAAATCCCAATTTTCTTGTAATTGCCAATCCCCTATTAAATATCATGGGATTTTCTCTCCGAATCTGTTCCATGTCTCCACGAAGAAGCTGCAGAGAAATGATAAGACCTGCAAAAACAAAAGCATTTTCTTAGAACCACAGTTCTACCCTGTTATATAGTACTTGAAAAGACACAGTCACATTTTCCAGAAGAAAATGTGCAAAGTTCAGCAAAATTCTTGAGAAAAACTTTTATGCAGACAGTATAAGTTATTTTGAAGAAACATTTTGGAAAGCTAAAGAAATTTAAGTCAAAGTGACCCCAATAACCCAGAGAATTAGTCTATTAAACATAGACTGAGGTCTGGGAGATTGAGTTGTCTTTCCCTCTGTTCCCCAGCGTCCAACTAGGGTCCAGCTGGCCCTTGTGAATATTGAATGAGAGGGTTCAACTACATAAGTTGTATATTTAGGAACCTAGAGAAATCTAAAGACTAGAAACAAACATGACCAAAGAAGACCTTCAGTCAGGCCATCCCAAATATGAGAAATGAGCAAGCTAAGATGTGCTGTGTTTTATGCTAGGAGTATGCCAAAGTGTGGGAAGTAACTTTCTAGTTCAATCTTGCACTGGCTTGCAACAGAGGAGACATCACATTCTGCAAAGAAAAGAGGGCGCTTTTGTGGGACTAACTAAGCCTTGACTCCATGAGGATTTCAGATCCTCCACATGATCTTTAATCAAAACTTGGGAGTATTTGTAATATCCCCTCAGGTGAGCTGCCTTCTGGCTCACTACTTACACCCTTGGAGTTGTGCACAAAGTTAGAATCTCCTGAAATTTCCCCCTCCACACCACCCTCCTGAGGGTCCCCGCTGCAGCTACTGGCTAGAAGGCTGTAACAGTCAAGCCTGTATGGAATTAGGAAGTGTTACCTCTATAACTGTGAATGGGATTAGCTGTTAACAGGATGAAGAATTTAGGTGTTGATCTATGGGTTGACAGGAGGCGTCCTCACTGGTCTATAAGCTTGGGAGTTAAATGCAGCTGAACAATTATAGAAATGAGGGAATAAGGTGTTATGATAATGAATACAATTAGAAGAGTAGTAGCTGGAATGGAGATAGTAACAAGCAGAATTGTAAAATAAGAATGGTCTAGGAATGGGGAGGGAGGAGGGAATGGAGAAGTAGATAAAGAGAGAAGTCAGATAGAAGAGTTACAGATATTTTATTTGGCAAGAAAAGTATGTCAGTAGCCAGGAATTTGTACTCTCAGAGCTGGGCCAAGGGAGGAAATACGGTTCTACTAGAGCCTGGACAGAACCTCATAATTATCTCGTTGCTTCTGCTAAACTCATGCTTTCCAAGAAACTTTGGGATTACAAACATGGTATCTCAAGTGTCATTAACACCAGGATCACAGTGCCCTGAAAAGGCAAACATACAGTATTCCAGTTGGCATTCTGGTTAGATAATCAGTGTTTAAGATTTCAACCCCTCTAAAGTAATTATCTTAAGCCTAATCACTGGTGGACTAAACCGCAATTAGTTTATGAACCTGAAAGCCTGGGAGCCAGAACCAAAACCACAATAATCTCTGTAGAGAACAGCTTGGGATATATCTGCCCTCACCTCATAACCCTAACTTATTCATCTTTGTTGTCTTTACGTAGCTATCAAATCATATCCTCTGGGTAAACAGAAATCCACTGACTTAGGAGACAGCCCAACATGAAGCAAATAGCTGGGGATGAAAGTCTCCATAATTTGAGGGGGTTGTGGTTGGAAGGCAAAAGCAAAAAAAAAAAAAAAAAACAGTGGGTGTACTCTAACCATTCTGCATTGGCAAGGGTTTAAGTACTCACTGACTGCCTTTTGTCTTTGCATTTTCTGATCAACCAAAATGGTGTACAGAAGCAAAGTGAAACTCATGAAGATGTTCACTAAAGGTGCTGATAGTGTCACAGTTAGCTTTTGAGCTACCCAAAGGGATCCTGAAGAGCTGCTCTCTACTTCTAAACATAACAAATAAGAGAAAGCCTTCAAGTTTATGCAAGAGATCAAATGAAAAGGCATGCAAAGAATGAAAGAAATCACCAATGGAGGCTATAAAAGCTGTATGTCCTTTTGTAGAGTTGAGATCTTGGAACTTCTGGGTTTCCTTCCTAGTTCTGAAACCCTGGGTGACTGAAGCACATACCAAATAATGCTAAGGCATGATTCTGAGCACAAGAGAGCCTTCATGAATAGTTCAGTAAAGTGACCCACTCGCTCACCCAGTATGCAACACCCAGTCCCTTGGCAACACTTGATGTTCTACCTGACTATCATCTCAATGGGGCCCTCAAATCAACCCAGCCATCCCATTACTGGGTACATACCCAAAGGATTATAAATCATGCTTCTATAAAGACACATGCACACGTATGTTTATTGTGGCACTATTCACAATAGCAAAGACTTGGAACCAACCCAAGTGTCCATCAATGATAGATTGGATTAAGAAAATATGGCACATATATACCATGGAATACTATGCAGCCATAAAAAAGGATGAGTTCATGTCCTTTGTAGGGACATGGATGAAGCTGGAAACCATCATTCTCAGCAAACTATCGCAAGGAAAAAAACCAAACACTGCATGTTCTCACTCATAGGTGGGAAATTGAACAGTGAGAATACTTGGACACAGGAAGGGGAACATCACACACCGGGGCCTGCTGTGGGGTTGGGGGAGGGATAGCATGAGGAGATATACCTAATGTAAATGATGAGTTAATGGGTGCAGCACACCAACATGGCACATGTATACATATGTAACAAACCTGCAGGTTGTGCACATGTACCCTAGAACTTAAAGTATAATAATAAAAAAAAATTAAAAAAAAGAAAGAAAATAACAAAGTCTATACAATTTCTCTGTTAATCTGGTCTCACTGATTACCTGACACAAGAAAACCATTTTCTTACTGAACCTCTTATTGGATTAAAGACTGACCCATAAAAAAAGTAACTGGACAAATCAACACCTGTGTAAAATATTGCAGGGTACCAACTTGACTCTGTTCTTGTGCCCTACCTCCCCCACCCCTCCTTGTGGAAATGCTGGATGAGGATTAATTATATAAATTAATGTCAGCCCAAGATATGGAAATAAATTGTAGTTAACAGTCATTTTAAAATAAACAGAAAACTTGTGTGTCAACTGCTTTATCTTCACTTGTCCTTAATGCTCTTCATGCTACTACTGGAACTGTTAAAAGTTCAGTTTGTAGCTACATATCCAAGGCCAACAATGGAAATGAAGAGCCACATCTATTAAAGTTCACATAGAAGAGTTGCTGCTGGATGATACATTTACTCTCAGCACTCAAACCCAATGTAGCAATTGCTTCTGCATTTTTAAATTATGTGACTTGAAGGAAAAGCACTAATGACTTCTGAAACAGAACTGCAAGGCAATGAACTGTCCACAATATCTAACAAAGATGGGTAAAAGTTTATAGCAAAGTAAACTAATTTTTAATAAAGATGTATCTTTAATTAAGCAGACTAATAAAGACCTGAAATATTCCTTGAGCAATCTATAAAATTCTCTGACACAAAGACCCCAGAGTCCAGCAGTAGAAAACTCATGCTCAGAAGCTTGGCAACTGAGTAGAAAGGCCAAAGGCCTGGAGTCTGGAGACCTGGGTTCTATCCTTGTTCAGCCACTAAGTCATTTTGCTGAGTTTCAGTTTCCTCATTTATTTAACGAGGGGGTTGAAACAGGTTTTCCAAGGTCTCAACTAGCTTCTAACATACTTCAAAAAGCAGCAGCCTGTTCCTCCTACTGACTTTTCCACAACTACACAGAGACCACCTCTCACTACAGCCATCCTAACTGAGGCTCTCTGAAGTCTGTGGTGCCCCACAGTGAGATCTTTCTAACACTGTTTAAATGGCAAGTGTCTGTGAGTTCTAGACAAAAATCAGACACAGAATATGGCACAGTCCCTGCTCGCTCTGGGGAGCAAGACAAAACTCATCATCTTAACCTGGTGAAGCAATGGTAGAAGTTGCTCTTTCATGAATTAGTACTATCATCTCTCTTTTAAAATATTCTCTATATGTTTTAATCACATTATGTCCCACGAACGTGTAGTCAAGGGCACCTCTTTATAAATCAGATAAGTAAATAAACCAAAGAACATGACAAATATTGATGTGAATAGTAGTTTCCCAAATTGCTAGTAACTTTCCTATATTTTTAAAACAAAATTTTATTTGTCTCTTGCTTTAGCCTAGATTTAGCACACTGCATGGAGCTACTTGGCATCCAGGCACATGTATAAGGGAATACTGTCATTTAAAAATAGTGAGAGGCTCTGAGATATCCCCCAAAACCCCACTAGGGTTTTAGAGGAATCAAGTTGTTACAACTGAAGGTCTCAATCTTGGCAGCCTCTGGTGTGAATCTCCTCTAAGGATCCTCCTAGTTGAGTATCTGCTCACCCCAACAGAGAAAAAACAAAGTTTTCTACAACATGTACTACTCTTTAGAAACTGCTTGCCTCTCAGTGACTTTACACTGTCATTTAAGGACAACTTATAATTTCCAACAGGTCTATGAAAGTTAAAACAAAGAAGATTATGTAAAAGAGGTTATAAAATGATTTAGAGGTAAAAACTGTCAGGAGTAACCTGGTTCTGCGTAAATTAGATAGCTATCTGCAAGGGTCTATAAAGGCATATAGGCTTTTAAATAATGCTTCTAATTTAATCAAGCATTAATGAACTTAGAAAACAATATAATATGTAGAACTGCACTGAGATTATATAGAAATTATTTAAACAGAGTTTTTACAGAAAGGAAGGGAAAAGGAAAAGGAGAAGTTGAGCTAAGATGAAGCTTCTTTGAAATAAAGATTTTCCATTCTAGTTTCAGAATGACCGATACTGGCAGACTAATCACTGATTCTCATTATGGTCAGTCTTTCAGAAATAGAAAGAGAAGTGTGTGATGTCTATATCTATATAGATATCTAGCTATATAGAGATAGAGGTATTTATTTGGCTGAGTATAATCTTTGTTTAGGCAAACATAGACTTCACAATGTAACAAACCCTGCAACATTTTTGCTCACTCTGGATTTGAATTGGAACTCGAGTTACCTATCAACACATATGGAACTCATCATAGAAAAAACACAAAATGTATTTTGGTCAGCAGATATTAGGGAAGGCCTCAAATTATTACAAAAAGAATGAGTAGGAAATGCCTCGGCAGGAGAATAAATATCTGTAGGGAATACAGCAGCCAATCTGCACCAACCAATCTAAGTGCTGTATGAGTAGCAACTACAAATGTAACACAAAATGTTCTAGTCAGAGAAGTATCTCACCATGGCTGGCGCTGGGGGCAGAGTACTTGGCACTGGACTTTCGGATGATGTTCTCGTGGATCTGGGACCACTCACTCTCGTTGTTGCACCTGTAACAGAAGGACAGGTGTTATGGTACTCAAGTATTTTAAACAACTGGTCTGATGTTCCAATGTGTAACACTTAAGTTCAAAGGGAAAAGGATCCCTCACTTTCCTAAAGAAATGATGTTCTGTTTTACTAAATTAAACAAGGCTCATTTCCTATTAAGCAGAAAACACATACTTGGGCAAAGGATAGAAACTCTAAAATGAATCCCTACAAACATTTAATTGGCAAAATTCCTCCTCTCAGAAGTAACACTATCCCACATGAAAAGTTGTTTCTTTTCTATCACCCGTTGCATGCATGTGCACAGACATATAAACAGGCCCCAGAGGAAAGTTCTTGATAGAGGAAAAACATCTCCTCTCAACAAGTACTACTGTTTAGAAACTGCTATGGCATTGGTTTTTTACTGTCATACAACTGTCATTATGACTGGCCCCAATGGAAAGCCCTGCTAAGCTAAAAGCAATGTTGATACTATTTGCATGAAGCTATGTTTTAACCAGACCAAGTTAAGAAAAGCTTGTGAGAGCAGTGGGCTTGATTTACCATGAAGTCTTCTGTGGTCAGGGGGAAGGAGGACTTAGCAGACAAAGCTGGATGCCTAAATGTGTAAGAATAAAGTTTCTTCCTAGGAATAAAGCTCCTTCCTTGGAACTATGGGATTGAGACAAAATAATGGAGGAGTAACAGTGCATTTCTCTCACATTCTGATGTTTTAGTGTCTTCCTTCTAAAGGTCAATTCCCGGAGAACTGCAACCACGTAACCATTTGGAACAAAGTTTAGGAACAGAGACTAGGAATTCCTTATCCTAGTACAGACACCTTGATAAAACAATTGGAAAAAGATTAGGGTCATCTCTTGAAAATTCCATTTGACACTTAGGGAGTTCCCACAGCCCTGGTTCTACCCCGTCCCCTGTTGGTTAGGAAGGTATGGATATACCTATCCCAGAAAATAGGACCCATGCAAAAAGGAGAACCCATGGAACTTTCCATGGATTACTCAGATGTGTCCAGTTCAGCATGGCCACTTCCAGGAGGAGACCCCAGTAAGAGTTATAGAATGTGCCATCCAATAGTATGAAGCATTTCAGGTCTCTAAATAAAAAGGGTTGGAATAGAGGCCACTCAGAGATAAAGGAGGTCAGTTACTAGCTTAATTAATTGTTACCCAGTCAGTGGCTCTTTGGACTCCTTGGCCATAAAAATATATCTCATTTACTCAGAGCTGTTGTGATGAATGGTTAAAGGAGGTTCTCACAGCCCAGGGCTCTGAGAATAACTTTCTGCCTACAGAATTTCTTCCAAATAAGGAAAGAGGGAAGAGTATCCTTTAAAACAATCTCTTGTGATTTAGCAACTTAGCAGGAAATTAAAAGCCTTGAAAATTACCTCCCCTACTGAATGGGGTAATTTCAGTTTTTCTCCCATAAAATACTCACTGGTACCTTGGTGGTATGGTGGAACTGGAGCTTTGTTAGTCCTATCAACAGTGGCAATCTGCATTATTTCACTCACATCTACCCCTCCACCCAACACATACAATTCATTTGCTAGACAACTGACAGCCTGTTCCTGCCATTCCTCTCCCCTTGCATACCCCTTACGTATTTGTGACCTTCACAGCTCTGCCTTCAGCCCATTTCCTTCTTACCCTACAAGCCTTCCTGGGCAATCTCACCCATTCCCATAGCTTCAACCACTACCAGAGGCTGCCAAGCTCCAAAGCATTGTCTCTAGCCCAGACTCATCCTAAGCTCCTGATCTACAAGGCCAAGAAAATTCATTTCTCCCCAACCTGGCTGTACCCAGAGATGCCCTCTCACTGAGAGGAACTCAGTAGTTCACTATACCCTTCCAGCATTCACCATATCCTACAGATTTTGCAATCATAAAATCTCACATTTGACTTCTCCTCTTCATTGTCTTGGTTTGGTCATTATCATCTCTCTTCTGGACCGGTATAATAATCTTCTAATGGGCCTTTTACACATCTTGCTTTCCAGAATGTCAATTTGGTCATATGGCCACCCTTCTTAATGCCCATCACAGGTTAGAGGTCGAACTTTTCAGCAAGTCATTTAAGGCAGTCTCATCAGGGTCCTCTCTGACCTCTTCAGATCTCTTTTACATTGAAAAAGCCTACAAAGACTCTACTTTATTAATGGTATTTCTTGCCTTTCTTTCCCCGTCTCTCTCTTTTTTTTTTAAAGGATTCAGTTCAATATTGCCTTTTCTATGAATCCTTTCCAGCTTGCTCTATTATTCTCCATTCTCAACATCCCTACCTTAGACCTGACCACTACTTCTTTTGGGTCTTCACTGAATTCTGATTTCTAGAAGAATACCTATTATATTTTAGGGCACCTATTTGTCACTTCACTCGACTGCAAGTCCTTAGATGATAAGGACTGTGTCTTGCTAATCATCTCCACCATGTAGCAAAACTTGTAGCACATAATAAGTGCTTAATATAATATTTGTTGAACAAATAAATGGAATAATTGCCAAGGTCAATTGGTTATTTCTTATAGCTTAAATGTTGCTAATTAAAACTTTGCCATCATTCTGCATCAGAATTACATTACACTAAGGCAGATATTGAGGAAAACATTCTGCATTATGGTCATCTTATGAAATCATTACTAGATTTATCTTAAGAGGAAAACAGTAAAAGAGCAGTGAAAACAATCACATTTCTGGGGAAAGTAAAGGAAAAATGAATGGTCATATTTGTGCCTATTTGAGTCAAGGAGGATGGGAGCACCAATGGCTGGAAGTATGCTTGAAAGAAACTCCTGGTAGCTTCAAAGGAAAGATTGTTTGAAATCAAATGTCATGCAGATTCATTTGCAGATTGCCAAGACTGAACTCTCGAAATTTTGCAGTCTACTCATGACTGGCTATAAAAAACATTTAGCTTTGCAGAACTGCCAAGTTATTGTTACAAAGGCATCAATTTACCTTCAATTACCAATGCTTCCTTTTATTCTCTTAATACAGCACTTGCTTTCAAATACTATATGCTGTTAACAATGAATTCTTTCTTTCTATCTATCTATTAACTGATCTATACAGGGTCTCACTGTCGCCCAGGCTGGAGTGTAGCGGTACAATCACTGGTCACTGCAGCCTTCACCTCCCCAGGCTCAGGTGATCCCCCTACCTCAGTCTCCAGAGCACCTGGGACCACAGGCACACACCACCATGCCGAGCTAATTTTTGTCTTTTTTTTTTTTTTGTAGAGATAAGGTTTCACCATGTTGCCCAGGCTGGTCTCGAACTCCTGAACTCAAGCGATCCTCCCGCCTTAGCCCTCAAAGTGCTAAGATCACAGTCATGAGCCACCACACCTGGGCCAATTGTTCAGTTTTTAAAATTATTCTCTTTAGTCCTAACCCCATCAAAGTCTTCATCATTTCATGCCTCTCTATCTTACTCTTCCATTCTTTTAGCAGCATCCTCGTGTTATACCTGATGTAGTTATTAAAGGCATATTTAGGTAAAAGTGCTTTCTAAATCCTTAAACCTCATACTGTGGTGATAGATGTGGACCTTCTTTTTCTTTTTTTTTCACTGTATTTATTTATTTATTTATTTTTATTATTATACTTTAAGTTTTAGCGTACATGTGCACAATGTGCAGGTAAGTTACATATGTATACATGTGACATGCTGGTGCGCTGCACCCACTAACTCGTCATCCAGCATTAGGTATATCTCCCAATGCTATCCCTCCCCCCTACCCCCACCCCACAACAGTCCCCAGAGTGTGATGTTCCCCGTCCTGTGTCCATGTGTTCCCATTGTTCAATTCCCACCTATGAGTGAGAACATGCGGTGTTTGGTTTTTTGTTCTTGCGATAGTTTACTGAGAATGATGATTTCCAATTTCATCCATGTCCCTACAAAGGACATGAACTCATCCTTTTTTATGGCTGCATAGTATTCCATGGTGTATATGTGCCACATTTTCTTAATCCAGTCTATCATTGTTGTACATTTGGGTTGGTTCCAAGTCTTTGCTATTGTGAATAGTGCCGCAATAAACATACATGTGCATGTGTCTTTATAGCAGCATGATTTATAGTCCTTTGGGTATATACCCAGTAATGGGATGGCTGGGTCAAATGGTATTTCTAGTTCTAGATCCCTGAGGAATCGCCACACTGACTTCCACAATGGTTGAACTAGTTTACAGTCCCACCAACAGTGTAAAAGTATTCCTATTTCTCCACATCCTCTCCAGCACCTGTTGTTTCCTGACTTTTTAATGATTGCCATTCTAACTGGTGTGAGATGATATCTCATTGTGGTTTTGATTTGCATTTCTCTGATGGCCAGTGATGGTGAGCATTTTTTCATGTGTTTTTTGGCTGCATAAATGTCTTCTTTTGAGAAGTGTCTGTTCATATCCTTCGCCCACTTTTTGATGGGGTTGTTTGTTTTTTTCTTGTAAATTTGTTTGAGTTCATTGTAGATTCTGGATATTAGCCCTTTGTCAGATGAGTAGGTTGTGAAAATTTTCTCCCATTTTGTGGGTTGCCTGTTCACTCTGATGGTAGTTTCTTTTGCTGTGCAGAAGCTCTTTAGTTTAATTAGATCCCATTTGTCAATTTTGGCTTTTGTTGCCATTGCTTTTGGTGTTTTAGACATGAAGTCCTTGCCCATGCCTATGTCCTGAATGGTAATGCCTAGGTTTTCTTCTAGGGTTTTTATGGTTTTAGGTCTAACGTTTAAGTCTTTAATCCATCTTGAATTGATTTTTGTATAAGGTGTAAGGAAGGGATCCAGTTTCAGCTTTCTACATATTGCTAGCCAATTTTCCCAGCACCATTTATTAAATAGGGAATCCTTTCCCCATTGCTTGTTTTTGTCAGGTTTGTCAAAGATCAGATAGTTGTAGATACGCGGAGTTATTTCTGAGGGCTCTGTTCTGTTCCATTGATCTATATCTCTGTTTTGGTACCAGTACCATGCTGTTTTGGTTACTGTAGCCTTGTAGTATAATTTGAAGTCAGGTAGCGTGATGCCTCCAGCTTTGTTCTTTTGGCTTAGGATTGACTTGGCAATGCAGGCTCTTTTTTGGTTCTATATGAACTTTAAAGTAGTTTTTTCCAATTCTGTGAAGAAAGTCATTGGTAGCTTGATGGGGATGGCATTGAATCTATAAATTACCTTGGGCAGTATGGCCATTTTCACAGTATTGATTCTTCCTATCCATGAGCATGGAATGTTCTTCCATTTGTTTGTATCCTCTTTAATTTCACTGAGCAGTGGTTTGTAGTTCTCCTTGAAGAGGTCCTTCACGTCCCTTGTAAGGTGGATTCCTAGGTATTTTATTCTCTTTGAAGCAATTGTGAATGGGAGTTTACTCATGATTTGGCTCTCTGTCTGTTATTGGTGTATAAGAATGCTTGTGATTTCTGTACATTGATTTTGTATCCTGAGACCTTGCTGAATTTGCTTATCAGCTTAAGGAGATTTTGGGCTGAGACAATGGGGTTTTCTAGATATACAATCATGTCATCTGCAAACAGGGACAATTTGACTTCCTCTTTTCCTAATTGAATACCCTTTATTTCCTTCTCCTGCCTAATTGCCCTGGCCAGAACTTCCAACACTATGTTGAATAGGAGTGGTGAGAGAGGGCATCCCTGTCTTGTGCCAGTTTTCAAAGGGAATGCTTCCAGTTTTTGCCCGTTCAATATGATATTGGCTGTGGGTTTGTGATAGATAGCTCTTATTATTTTGAGATAGGTCCCATCAATACCTAATTTATTGAGAGTCTTTAGCATGAAGGGCTGTTGAATTTTGTCAAAGGACTTTTCTGCATCTATTGAGATAATCATGTGGTTTTTGTCTTTGGTTCTGTTTATATGCTGGATTACATTTATTGATTTGTGTATATTGAACCAGCCTTGCATCCCAGCATGAAGCCCACTTGATCATGGTGGATAAGCTTTTTGATGTGCTGCTGGATTCGGTTTGCCAGTATTTTATTGAGGATTTTTGCATCAATGTTCATCAAGGATATTGGTCTAAAATTCTCTTTTTTGGTTGTGTCTCTGCCAGGCTTTGGTATCCGGATGATGCTGGCCTCATAAAATGAGTTAGGGAGGATTCCCTCTTTTTCTATTGTTTGGAATAGTTTCAGAAGGAATGGTACCAGTTCCTCCTTGTACCTCTGGTAGAATTCGGCTGTGAATCCATCTGGTCCTGGACTCTTTTTGGTTGGCAAGCTATTGATTATTGCCACAATTTCAGCTCCTGTTATTGGTCTATTCAGAGATTCAACTTCTTCCTGGTTTAGTCTTGGGAGGGTGTATATGTTGAGGAATTTATCCATTTCTTCTAGATTTTCTAGTTTATTTGCGTAGAGGTGTTTGTAGTATTCTCTGATGGTAGTTTGTATTTCTGTGGGATCGGTGGTGATATCCCCTTTATCATTTTTTATTGCATCTATTTGATTCTTCTCTCTTTTTTTCTTTATTAGTCTTGCTAGCAGTCTATCAATTTTGTTGATTCTTTCAAAAAACCAGCTCCTGGATTCATTAATTTTTTGAAGGGTTTTTTGTGTCTCTATTTCCTTCAGTTCTGCTCTTAGTTATTTCTTGCCTTCTGCTAGCTTTTGAATGTGTTTGCTCTTGCTTCTCTAGTTCTTTTAATTGTGATGTTAGGGTGTCAATTTTGGATCTTTCCTGCTTTCTTTTGTGGGCATTGAATGCTATAAATTTCCCTCTACACACTGCTTTAAATGTGTCCCAGAGATTCTGGTATGTTGTGTCTTTGTTCTCATTGGTTTCAAAGAACATCTTTATTTCTGCCTTCATTTCTTTATGTACCCAGTAGTCATTCAGGAGCAGGTTGTTCAGTCTCCATGTAGTTGAGCAGTTTTGAGTGAGTTTCTTAATCCTGAGTTCTAGTTTGATTGCACTGTGGTCTGAGAGACAGTTTGTTATAATTTCTGTTCTTTTACATTTGCTGAGGAGTGCTTTTCTTCCAACTATGTGGTCAATTTTGGAATAGGTGTGGTGTGGTGCTGAAAAAAATGTATATTCTGTTGATTTGGGGTGGAGAGTTCTGTAGATGTCTATTAGGTCTGCTTGGTGCGGAGCTGAGTTCAATTCCTGGGTATCCTTGTTGACTTTCTGTCTTGTTGATCTGTCTAATGTTGACAGTGGGCTGTTAAAGTCTCCCATTATTAATGTGTGGGAGTCTAAGTCTCTTTGTAGGTCACTCAGGACTTGCTTTATGTGTCTGGGTGCTCCTGTATTGGGTGCATATATATTTAGGATAGTTAGCTCTTCTTGTTGAATTGATCCCTTTACCATTATTGTAATGGCCTTGTCTCTTTTGATCTTTGTTGGTTTAAAGTCTGTTTTATCAGAGACTAGGATTGCAACCCCTTCCTTTTTTTGTTTTCCATTTGCTTGGTAGATCTTCCTCCATCCTTTTATTTTGAGCCTATGTGTGTCTCTGCACGTGAGATGGGTTTCCTGAATACAGCACACTGATGGGTCTTGACTCTTTATCCAATTTGCCAGTCTGTGTCTTTTAATTGGAGCATTTAGTCCATTTACATTTAAAGTTAATATTGTTATGTGTGAATTTGATCCTGTCATTATGATGTTAGCTGGTTATTTTGCTCATTAGTTGATGCAGTTTCTTCCTAGTCTCGATGGTCTTTACATTTTGGCATGATTTTGCAGCGGCTGGTACCGGTTGTTCCTTTCCATGTTTAGTGCTTCCCTCAGGAGCTCTTTTAGGGCAGGCCTGGTGGTGACAAAATCTCTCAGCATTTGCTTGTCTGTAAAGGATTTTATTTCTCCTTCACTTATGAAGCTTAGTTTGGCTGCATATGAAATTTGTGGTTGAAAATTCTTTTCGGTAAGAATGTTGAATATTGGCCCCCACTCTCTTCTGGCTTGTAGAGTTTCTGCCAAGAGATCCGCTGTTAGTCTGATGGGCTTCCCTTTGTGGGTAACCCGACCTTTCTCTCTGGCTGCCCTTAACATTTTTTCCTTCATTTCAACTTTGGTGAATCTGACAATTATGTGTCTTGGAGTTGCTCTTCTCGAGGAGAATCTTTGTGGCGTTCTCTGTCTATTTCCTGAACCTGAATGTTGGCCTGCCTTGCTAGATTGGGGAAGTTCTCCTGGATAATATTCTGCAGAGTGTTTTCCCGCTTGGTTCCATTCTCCCCGTCACTTTCAGGTACACCAATCAGACGTAGATTTGGTCTTTTCACATAGTCCCATATTTCTTGGAGGCTTTGTTTGTTTCTTTTTATTCTTTTTTCTCTAAACTTCCCTTCTCGCTTCATTTCATCTTCCATCACTGATACCCTTTCTTCCAGTTGATCGCATCGGCTCCTGAGGCTTCTGCATTCTTCACGTTGTTCTCGAGCCTTGGCTTTCAGCTCCATCAGCTCCTTAAGCACTTCTCTGTATTGGTTATTGTAGTTATACATTCGTCTAAATTTTTTTCAAAGTTTTTAACTTCTTTGCCTTTGGTTTGAATTTCCTCCTGTAGCTCGTAGTTTGATTGTCTGAAGCCTTCTTCTCTCAACTCGTCAAAGTCATTCTCCAACCAGCTTTGTTCCATTGTTGGTGAGGAACTGCGATCCTTTGAAGGAGGAGAGGTGCTCTGCTTTTTTAGAGTTTCCAGTTTTTCTGCTCTGTTTTTTCCCCATCTTTGTGGTTTTATCTACTTTTGGTCTTTGATGATGGTGATGTACAGATGGGTTTTTGGTGTGGATGTCCTTTCTGTTTGTTAGTTTTCCTTCTAACAGACGGGACCCTCAGCTGCAGGTCTGTTGGAGTTTGCTAGAGGTCCACTCCAGACCCTGTTTGCCTGGGTATCAGCAGCGGTGTCTGCAGAACAGTGGTTTTTCGTGAACCGCGAATGCTGCTGTCTGATCGTTCTTCTGGAAGTTTTGTCTCAGAGGAGTACCTGGCCGTGTGAGGTGTCAGTCTGCCCCTACTGGGGGGTGCCTCCCAGTTAGGCTGCTCAGGGGTCAGGGACCCACTTGAGGAGGCAGTCTGCCCATTCTCAGATCTCCAGCTGCGTGCTGGGAGAACCACTGCTCTCTTCAAAGCTGTCAGACAGGGACATTTAAGTCTGCAGAGGTTACTGCTGTCTTTTTGTTTGTCTGTGCCCTGCCCCCAGAGGTGGAGCCTACAGACGCAGGCAGGCCTCCTTGAGCTGTGGTGGGCTCCACCCAGTTGGAGCTTCCTGGCTGCTTTGTTTACTTACACAAGCCTGGGCAATGGCGGGCGCCCCTCCCCCAGCCTCGCTGCCGCCTTGCAGTTTGATCTCAGACTGCTGTGCTAGCAATCAGCGAGACTCCGTGGGTGTAGGACCCTCCGAGCCAGGTGCAGGATATAATCTCCTGATGTGTCGTTTTTTAAGCCCATCGGAAAAGCGCAGTATTTGGGTGGGAGTGACCCGATTTTCCAGGTGCCGTCTGTCACCCCTTTCTTTGACTAGGAAACGGAACTCCCTGACCCCTTGCGCTTCCCGAGTAATGCAATGCCTCGCCCTGCTTTGGCTCACGCACGGTGTGCTGCACCCACTGACCTGCGCCCATTGTCTGGCACTCCCTAGTGAGATGAACCCGGTACCTCAGATGGAAATGCAGAAATCACCCGTCTTCTGTGTCGCTGACGCTGGGAGCTGTAGACCGGAGGTGTTCCTACTCGGCCATCTCGGCTCCTCCCCTCTTTTTTTTTCTTTTATTGAGTCGGAGTCTCCCTCTGTTGCCCAGGCTGGAGTGCAATGGCACGTCTTCGGGTCACTGCAACCTCCACCTCCCTGGTTTCAAGCGATTCTCATGCCTCAGCCTCCTGAGTAGCTGGGATTACAGGCACCCACTGCCACACTTGGCTAATTTTTGTATTTTTAGTACAGACAGGCTTTCACCATGTTGTCCAGGCTGGTCTTGAACCCCTGACCCAAGTGATCCGCCTGACTCAGCCTCCCAAAGTGCTAGGATTACAGGCATGAGCAGTGGCTCACTACACACAGCCTAGATGTGCACCTTCTAAAGCTATTCTTACTCACAATTCCTTAGTTTGAATTCGTATAAAGAGCAAGCGGGTTTTCAAACCCACAGAAATGCACACAGATTGTATTAGTCATAGTCTCACTAGCTCCATCCCTCCCTTTCCCTGTTTTTTTTTTTTTTTTTGGTGACCTGTCAGTGAATGATAAATAATAATATCACATTCAAAAGAAACCCCACTGCTCTGTATCCTCTGCTCTAAGAGGCCCAAGTGGCTCTGTTGCAGTCTCTGTCACTCTTTGACTTGAAGTTAGTGGGAGATCCCTAGGAAGATGTTGGGACATCCTGGAAGCGGGAAAATGAGGCCAGACCTGTCTGCTCTTCCCTGCTGGGTTTTGTCACTTCACAAACCATGTTCAAAGAATTGTCCCTGAATCCCAGAACAAGGAGGTAAAGAGAACAGAGTGAAAAGCACCCGTGGTTAAGCAGTTCTGCAGGTGTGCAAGGTGCAGAAGCAGGTTCACCAAGAGGTGGATAACTTTCCTGGGTCTATTTGCTTCTCCAACTTCCCCTGACATCTCATCCCTGAAGTGTCTGAGGAGCAAGGCATCATTTTCAAACGCAGCCTTTGGCAGACTGCTTGCTGTCCTGCAGCCCAGTAGTGCCAGGACTGAGGCATGACAGAAACTCGAGCTGTCGCTAATGGGACTGGGGAGTATGCTGGAAGCATACCTACAGCCAGAGCTAAGAAGCAAGTAAGGCATGGGGTGAAGCTGTTGGTGCTGAGAAGTGAGTGCCACCAGGATGGAGACTGGGATGCAAGTGGGGTAAAATTTGCCACTGGGACTTGATCACCAGTTGGGTGGGGCTCCTGCAGCTGAGGTGGGCTACCCCTGCCAGGGCCAGGGAGCAAGCCCCATTGGGACTAAGGTGTGAGGAATGTGCATTCCCACCCGCTGGCCCAGGCTCTGGTCACCAAGAATGACCCCACCCTCTATTGTGACAGGGTGTTAGCATAGCTGCTAACACCCCTCACCTGAGCACTCCACCTGGGGCCTGCGGAGTGCCCTGTCCATGATGGCTGGTGCTGTTCTCACCATTTGAAGGTCTGAGCATGAGCCTACCTAGTCCAGCTTCACTCTCTGCTCTGTGACAGAGAACACAGACCAGGGTCCTGGCAAATACCCAACACAACCACTTTGGGCACCTGAGTACTTCTCCTAAACTCCTGGCTGCTATCACTTCATCTGGCATCTGCCTGCATGTGCCACCCGAGTTCCTGGAGATTGGGCTACCCAGCCCATCAGAGCCACCACCAACATCAACGCACATCACTCAGGACCCAGAGAGTTGTCCCACTACCGCTACTGCTATCACTCATGCCATGTAGCTGCTCAGGAACCTGAGACTCTGCCCACTTGTGCAATCCACCACTGCCACTACCAGCATCTAAGCAAGCCATGTGGAGGCCCACCAACTGACCCACCAATAATTGCCAACATGGCTGCCAGTGTACACTGCCCAGTGACACTATCACTGGCCCACCTGGCATCCTAGTCCCCAGCACAACTTCCCCACAGCCTTAACTAACAACTGTACCGTAACCTATCCAGGAAATCACAGATGCCACTAATGCTGTTTACAGCCAAAGAAATCATACAGAGATGACACTACTGCACACACCAGAGTCAAAGCCAAAGTACCCTACCCAACCAACACCATAGACACATCTTTAGGAAAAGGTCTTTCCCTACTAAAGTAAATTCAAAAACAGGAAGAAGTGACTGTTACTCCAGATACACAGATTTCAATGTAATGACACAGGAAACATGAAAAAGCAAGGAAATATGACACTTCCAAAGGAACATAATAAGTATCCAAAAATAGATCTTAATCCAAGAAATTTTTGAAATCCCAGATAAAGAATTCAAAATTTTGATTTTACAGAAGCTCAGTGAGATACAAGCGAATCCAGAAAAACAATTCAGGATATGAATGAGAAATTTACCAAAGACATAGTTTTTTAAAGCACCAGATAGAAATTCTGCAATTGAAGAATTTACTATAGGAACTACAAATTACATTTGAAAGCTTCTGTAATAGACTAGAATAGGCAGAAGAATCTCAGAACATGAATACAAATCTTTTGAAATAATCCTGTCAGACAAAAATAAAGAAAAAGGAATAAAAAAGACTGAGCAAAGCCTTTGTGACAATTAAATATTAAAATTATCAATATCCACAAGTTCAAAGAGACAAAGACAGGATTGGAAAATGTATTTAACCAAACAAAAATGAAAACACCTCAAGTCTAGCAAGAGATTTAGACATTTCAGATACAAGAGACTCAGCAATCCCTGGGAAAATACAATGCAAAAAGGTCGTCTCCACAGCACATTATAGTTAGACTGCCTAAAATCAAAGATGAAGAGCAAATCCCAAAAACAGCAAGAGATAATCATCTATTCACATATTCACAGGCCAGAAGAGAATGGGATAATATATTTAAATAACTAAAAGAAAAAAGTCTGGCCAAATGCAGTGGCTCATGCCTGTAATCACAGCACTTTGGGAGGCTGAGGCAGGAGGCCTACTTGAGTCCAGGAGTTTGAGAACAGCCTACGCAGCATGACAAGAACCAATCTTTGAAAAAAAAAAAAAAATTAGCTGGGCGTGGTGAAGTGTGCCTGAAGTCTTAGCAACATGGGAGGCTGAGGCAGGAAGATTGCTTGAGCCTGGGAAGTTGAGGCTGCAGTGAGCTGTATTTACACCACTGCACTCCCACCTGGGTGACAGAGTGAGACCTTGTTTCAAAAAAAACAAAAAACAACAAAAAAAGGAAGAATAAAAGAAAAAAAATCTGACAGCTAAGAATGCTATACATGCAAAATTATCCTTCATAAGTGAAAGAGAAATAAAATCTTTTCCAGACAAGCAAATACTAAGGGGATTCATTGCCCCTGGACTGGCCCTACAAAAAAATTCTCATGAGAGTCCTAAACCTGGAAGTGAAAGGATGACATTTACCAAGATGAAAATACACAAAATGGCCAGGCGCAGTGGCTCAGGCCTGTAATCCCAGAACTTTGGGAGGCCGAGGCGGGCAGATCACCTGAGGTCAGGAGTTTGAGACTAGCCTGGCCAACATGGTGACATCCCGTCTCTATTAAAAATACAAAAAAAATTAGCTGAGCGTGATGGCACGCATCTGTAATCTCAGCTACTTGGGAGGCTGTGGCAGGAGAATCAGTTGAACCCAGGAAGTGGAGGCTGCAGTGAGCCGAGATCTCACCACTGCACTCCAGCCTGGGTGACAGAGCAAGACTCTGTCTCAAAAAAACAAAAAAAGAAAAGAAAACATACAAAAATATAAATCTCTTTGGCAAAGTAATCACACAGAGAAAGAACTCAAATGGTACCACTGCAGACGTCCAGCAAACCACAACAACCAGTAAAAGAAAAAGGAACCAAATTATATAAAAAAGTCAGAAAACAATTAATAAATGACAGAAACAAAGCACCACATATCAATAATGACACTGATCAAAAATAGATTAAATTTTCCACTTTGCAGATACAGAATGGCTGAATAGATTTTTAAAAACCCACAATCCGACTATTTGCTGTTTACAAAAAACTCGGGCCAGGCGCAGTGGCTCATGCCTGTAATCCCAGCATTTTGGGAGTTCAAGGTGGGCGGATCATGAGGTCAAGAGATCGAGACCATCCTGGCCAACATGGTGAAACCCCGTCTCTACTAAAAATACAAAAAAATTAGCTGGGTGTGGTGGCACATGCCTGTAGTCCCAGCTACTTGGGAGGCTGAGGCAAGAGAATCACTTGAACTCGGGAGGCAGAGGTTGCAGTGAACCGATATCGCATCACTGCACTGCAGCCTGGTGACAGAGCGAGACTCTGTCTCAAAAAAAAAAAAAAAAAAAAAGATATTCACCTTAGCAGTAAAGACACATACAGACTGAAAATGAAAATAAAGAAATGAAAACAAGATATTCTCTGCAAATAGAAACCAAAAGCGAGTAGGGATAACTATACTTATACTAGAGAAAACAGACTTTAAGTCAAGAACAGTAAAAAGAAACAAAGAAGGTCATTATATAATGATAAAGGGATCAATCCAGCAAGATGATAAAAAATTCTAAATATATATGTAACCAACATTGGAACACCTGGATTCATAAAGAAAATATCATTAAAGCTAAAGAGAGAGATAAACTGCAAAACAATAATAGTTGGGGACTTCAACATTCCACTCTCAGCATTACACAGATAATCTAGACAAAAAAATCAACAAAGAAACATTGGCTTTAAGTTGCACTTTAGACCCAATGGAGCTAACTGACATTTCAGAACATTCTACCCAACGACTGCAGAATATACATTCTTTTCATCAGCACAAAGAACATTCTCCAGTATAGACCAAATGTTAGGCCACAAAACAAGCCTCAACTCACTTAAAAAAATCAAAATCATATCAAGTATCTTCTCAAACCACAATGGAATAAAACTAGAAATCAAAGCCAAGAGGAACTTTGGAAACTACATAAATACATAGAAATTAAACAACATACTCCTAAATGACCATTGGGTCACCAAGGACATTAAGATGGAAATAAAAAAAAATCTCAAAATAAACGAAAACAGGAACACAACATACCAAACCTGTAGGACATAGTAAAAGCAGTGCTAAGAGGGAATTTTATAGTAATAAATGCCTACATAAAATAGTTGAAAGATTACAAATTAACAATCTAACAATGTATCTCAAGGAACTAAAAAAGCAAGAACAAATGAAACCCAAAACTAGCAGAAGAAAAGAGCAAAATGAAATAGAGACTGAAGAAAAACAAAACAAAGGATCAACAAAAAGAAAAGCTGGTTCTTCAAAAAGATAAACAAAACTGATAAACTGCTAGCTAGACTAACCAAGAAAAAAAAAAAAAAAAGAGAGAAGCCCCCAAATAAAATCAGAAAAAACAAAGAAGACATTACAACTGATACTACAGAAATGCAAAGAATCATTAGAGACTATTATAAACAACTACATGCTGACAAACTGAAACACCTAGAGAAAATAAATAAATTCCTAAAAACATACAACCTATCAAGATTGAATTGGAAAGAAAGAAAAACCCTGAATAGACCAATAATGCATAGCAAGATTATATCAGTAATTAAAAAGCCTCCTGAGAAAGAAAAGCCCAGGACCAGATGGATACACAGCCAAATTCTACCAAACGTAAAAAGAACTAATACCAATTGTCTTGAAACTACTTCAAAAATTGAAAAGGACAGAATTCTCTCTAATTCATCCTACAAGATCATCACTACTCTGATACCAAAACCAGGCAAGAACACAACAACAACAACGAAAACTATATGTCAATATCCCTGGTAAACACAGATGCTAACATCCTAAACAAAATACTAGCAAACACAATCTAAGAGCCAATCAAAAAGTTAATACATTATGATCAAGTTGCATTTATACCAGGGATTCAAAAATGGTTCAACATAAGTAAATCAATAAACATGATACATCAAATCAACAGAATAAAGGACAAAAATCATATTATTATCTAGACAAATGTAGAAGAAAATTTGATAAAATTCAACATCCCTTCATGATAAAAACTCTCACAAAACTAGGCATAGAAAGAGCATATCTGAAAATAATAAAGGCCACATACAACAAACCCATAACTACCATCACACTGAATAGGGAAATATCTGAAAGCCTATCCTCTAAGAACTGGAACAAGACAAAGTTATCCACCTTCACCATTCCTATTCAATATTGTACTGAAAGTCCTAGCCAGAGAAATCAGGCAAGAGAAAAAAACTAACCGGCATCCAAGTTGGATGAGTTAGCCCGAGTTAGCTAGTAGACTTCTGTGAAGTCCCCTGTGATGGAGAATCAGGAATGGCTTCCCTTGGTTCAAGCTGGAGACTGGGAATGACCACAAGGCTGGGCACCTGACTCCTGCACTTGTAGCTACTGCACACTTCCCATTTGCCCCTGGTTCTGGCCAAGAGAATTCATCCCCACTCAAGATTATATCACAAATTTCAGATGGGAGCTTCTCTCAACCTGTGACTGCTGCCTGAGTTAGCTAGCAGACTTCCGTGAGGTCTCCTGTGATGTAGAATGAGGAATGGTTTCCCTTGATTCAAGCTGAAGACTGGGAATGCTCACAAAGTTCTTTCTCTGCTGCTCCTACTTTTTTATTCTTCACCACTCCCTAAATAGTTCCAGTGCTGGGTGGGGTTAAGGCCTTCCTCTGTGGGCTGAATTGTGAGGCATTGGCATCTGTGTTTATCAGGGATATTGACCTGTTAGTTTTCTTTTTTTCTTGTGGAGTTATTGCCTGGTATTGCTATCAGGGTGGTGATGATCTTGTAGGATGAATTAGAGAGAGTTCCGTCCTCTTCAATTTTTTTTGGAACAAGCAGAAGAATGCAACAGGACACCTATTTCTCACCATATACCAAAAAAATCAACACATAATGGATTAAAGACTTAAACATAAGACCTGAAACTATAAACATAATAGAAGTTTGAAAACCTAGGGAAAATGCTGCTGGAAATTGGTCTAGGCAAAAAGTTTAAGATCTCAAAAGGCAACAAAAACAAAAATAGATAACTGGTAGTATATTAAACTAAAAAGCTTCTGCACAGCAAAAGGGGATGTTGTGTAAGTAGTTTGGAAATATTTTTCCCTTTCAAGAGGTTGTCTGTTTACTCTAGCAAACCAGAAGCAAACCTGAGTAAACAGACAACCTGTTGAATGGGAAAAATATTTCCAAACTACTTGTACAACAAGGGACTAATATTTCCAAACTACTTATACAACAAGGGACTAATATTCAGAGTAGACAAGGAACTCAAACAACTCAGCAGGAAAAACAAGCTAATAATCCCATAAAAGTGGGCAAAGAGTTTTTGTGTGTTTTTTCCTCCCAAGATGGCAGATTGGAGGTAGTGTCAGCACGTCTCTTCCACTTGGAAAGACAATAGTGCATAGAGATTCACACTGAACTTTTTTTCAAGAAGCAACACAAGAACTGAACAGGAAAGCTTAAAGAAACCACAGACCCTTTAAAAGAAGTGGCAAGCTGCAAATTATATCATGAGGCAGGTATAATTGACACCAAATCCTCAGAGTGTGAGAAGGGGAGACACTGCCTCTAGGATATACACCACCACTGGGAACCTGGCAATTCAGCCCACAGGGGAAGGCCTTAATCCTACCCAGTGCTGGAACTGATTTACGGAGTGGTGACGAATATAAAAGTAGGAGCAGCAGGGAAAGAGCCTTGTGAGCATTCCCAGTCTTCAGCTTGGACCAAGGGAAGCCATTCCTCATTCTACGTCACAGGGGACCTCACGGAAGTCTGCTAGCTAACTCAGGCAGTAGTCTCAGGTTAACAGAAGCTCCCAACTGAAATTTGTGATATAATCTTGAGTGGAGATAAACTCCCTTGCCCAGAACCAGGGGACAGGCGGGAAGTGTGCTGTAGCTAGGAGTGCAGGAGCCAGGTGCCCCAGCTTTGTGGGAGTGGACTGGGAGGGGTGTAGCGTGAAAGCCCTGATTGCTGTCTCCACAGGGAAGATTTATAGCCTGGGACAGTTTCGAGTTCTGAGTGTAGACAGCCTGGAACTTAGCTAGCTGCTACTAATGGATCACTGCAGGTATGAGACCTGCCTTGCCAACTATGTAAGAGCTGGGTGGGGCTTACTCTCACCTACTACTTTCCATTCCTTCCGAAATCTCTTCTGTGCAGCAGAGGCAGTGACCTTCCTCCATGGAACATTACCTCAGTGGCCAGTAAACCACCTGCAGAGGTGGTGATCTCCACAGAGATCTCTGTGATCTCCATAGAGGCCAGTGCTTGCCCTGCAAGTGGAGAGCCAGGGTGTGGACCTACCTGACCCAGCTCCCACCTGGCTTTGTCCCTCCACCCACCCTGGTAGCATAACACAAAGAACAGAAACTTTTGGGAGCTCTCTAGCCTCACCCCTCACCTGAGAAACCAGAATACCTCTCCTGGGTAACATAAGGCAAGCACAAATCCCACTGCTACTACAGCAGGTGGTGCTCTTTTCCTAGTGCCATCTCCTAGCTGGGAGGCCAAATGACACAGTTCATTGCAGAATCTGCAGATAGAATAACACTGTGTCCAGAAAGGAGAAAACTTGTATGTTACCTCAGGTATTACCATTGCCTGCACCACCCCGGCTAACCAGGAGGTCCTGAGTCTGTCCCAGTGACCAGTTCATTACTACTATAACTGGCATCTGAGAAAGTCAACACACTAAGGCTATTTATAACCAAGGAATCTCACAGAGTTTACATCACTCCTCTGCCACCCCTATCAGAGCTGGTGCTGATAGCTGCTGGTGGGAGACTTGAGGACAGGTCATATCACTGGATCTCTTGCATAGGTTCACCAGCACCAGCCTGCAGTATGGCAGTCCCACTGGGCAGCTAGACCCAGAGAGCAGTAGCATTCACAGCAATCTAGCTCTAAGGGACTCTTACTCTTATGGAAAGGGGGAGTACATCACATCAAGGGAATACCCTGTGGGACAAAAGAATCCAGATGGCAGGCCTTGAGTCTCAGATCTTTCCAATGGTGGGAAGTTTCCTTCAGCAGAGGCATAGTTGAAGTGCTGGGCTTAGTGGGGAAAGTCTGTGGCTGTACCCCAACAGTCAGAAAGCCTTTGCGCTTGTGAAGCGTCCTGAGAAGGATATATCTTTTCCCCCTCATCACCACTACAGACACATTTGAGGCTTCTCCCATGTGAGCTCGGTGTGAGTGGACCTATTGAAAGCCTTTCTGGAATGTGGTGAAAAGGGAATGCTTATACACTGCTGGTGGGATTAGTACAACTTCTATGGAAAACAGTATGGGGATTTCTTAAAGAACTAAAAGTAGATCTACCATTTCATCAAAAAATTCCACAACTGGGTATTTACCCAGAGGAAAAGAAGTCAATATACCAAAAAGACACTTGCATATGTAAGTTTATTGCAGTACAATTAACAACTGCAAAGATATGGAACCAACCTAAGTGCCCATAAACCAATGAGTGGGTAAAGAAAATGTAGTATATATACACCATGGAATACTACTTGGCTAAAAAAGAAATGAAATAATGTCTTTTGCAGAAACTTGGATAGAGCTAAAGCCCTTATTGTAAGTGAAGTAACTCAGGAATGAGAAACCAAATACTGTATGTTCTTACTTATAAGTGGGACCTAAGCTTTGGTAAGCAAAGGCATAAGGAGTGATATAATGAACTTTAGAGACTCAGAAAGGGGAGGGTGGGAGAGAGATGAGGAATAAAAAATCTACACATTGGATACAATGTACACTACTCGGGTGATGGGTGCACAAAAATCTGACTTCACCACTATACAATTCATCCATGTAACCCAAAACCACCTGTACCCCAAAAGCTATTGAAATAAAAAAAAAATAGTGGGCAAAGAATCTGAACAGAATTTCTCAAAAGAAGACATACAAATGGTCAACAGATAAATGCAAAAATGTTCAACATCACTAATCATCAGGCAAATGTAAATCAAAACCACAATGAGCTATCATCTTATCCCAGTCAGAAAAAGAAAAAAATAACAGATGTTTGCATGGATGCAGAGAAAAGGGAACTCTTATACACTACTGGTGGGAATGTAAACTAGTACAGCCACTATGGAAAACAGTATGGAGATTTCTCAAAAAACTAAAAACAGAATTACCATTTGATCCAGCAATCCCACTACTGACTGTCTACCCAGAGAAAAAGAAATCAATATGTCAAAGGGATATCTGAACTCACATGTTTATTGCAGCACTATTCACAATAGCAAAGATATGGAATCAATCTAAGTGTTCAATGAATGAACAGATAAGAAAAGAAAATGTGATACACACACCCACACCCCCACATCCCCCGACACAAAATACTATTCAGCCATTGAAAAGAATAAAACCATGTTACCTTTAGTAACATGGATGGAACCAGAGGTCATTGTTTTAAATGAAATGAGGCATGAAAAGACATTCTCACTTACATGTGGGAACTAAAACATTTGATCACATGCATGTAGTGAATGGAAAGATAAATAACAGAAGCTGGGAAGAGTGAGTAGCAGGGAGGAAGCTGATGAAGACAACTGGATTAAAGGATACAAACACACAGTAAGGAGGATAAAATTCAATGTTTGAGAGTTGAGTAGATTCACTATATTTAACAAAAATGTATTGTACTTGCGTGGTGGACACCCTAAATACCCTGACTTGACCACTATGCATTATATACATGTAACGAAATCCCTCATGTACCTCATACATTTGTAGAAATAAAATAAAACCTACATCATCTTAAAAAACAATTACTATGTTTAACCTATGCTGTCTTCAGTGAAACCTACTTAAATAAGTAATATTGTTTTAGCCTTACAATGTTTAGCATATTTAATAAACTTCATTTACTCTTAGAATAACATTAATTCTCTGCTTTCCACTTCGTACTAATGTGCCTCCAAGATATGAGGGCATCTCATGAAGAAATTTTAAAAAGTGAAAATAGTTTAAAATACAAATGAGAAAAAAGGAGCACAAAAGACTATGTTGAGCATTTCTCTAGGGAACAGATAAAGAAAGGAAGGCTCCGTTGTTCATCCTGAGTCTAGCTCTTTCCTCTAATAGCTTATAAGTCACTAATGCCCACTCTGCCCACGTTATCTACCACAATCATATTACATGAAGGCACATCTTGAGAAATCATTCTGTACCATAGTCACTGTATTAGTCTGTTTTCACACTGCTGATAAAGACATACCCCAAACTGGGCAATTTACAAAAGAAAGAGGTTAATTGGACTCACAGTTTCATGTGGCTGGGGAGGCCTCACAATCACGGTGGAAGGCAAGAAGGAGCAAGTCATATCTTACAAGTATGGCAGCAGGCAAAAAAAAAAAAAAAAAAAGCTTGTGCAGAGAAACTCCCGTTTTTTAAAACCATCAGATCTCAAGAGACCCATTCATGAGAACAGCACAAGAAAGACCTGCCCCCATGATTCAATCATCTCCCACCGGGTCCCTCCCACAATATGTGGGAATTATGAGAGCTACAAGATGAGATTTGGGTGGGGACACAGAGCCAAACCATATCATTCTACCCTTGGCTCCTCCAAAATCTCATATCTTCACATTTCAAAACCACCCATGCCATCCCAACAGTCCCCCAAAGTCTCAACTCATTTTAGCATTAACTCAAAAGTCCACAGCCCAAGGTCTCATCTCTGCCAAAGCAAGTCCCTTCCACCTATGAGTCTGTAAAATCACAAGCAAGTTAGTCACTTCCTAGATATAATGGGGGTACAGGCTTTGGGTAAATACAGCCATTCCAAATGGTAGACTTTGGCCAAAACAAAGGGGCTACAGGCCCCATGCAAGTCTGAAATCCAGTGAGGCAGTCAAATCTTACAGCTCCAAAATGATCTCCTTTGACTTCATGTCTCACATCCAGGTCACGCTGATGCAAGAGGTAGGTTCCCATAGTCTTGGGCAGCTCCACCCACTGTGGCTTTGCAGGGTATAGCCCCTCTCCTGGCTGCTTTCACAGGCTGGTGTTGAGCATCTGTGGCTTTTCCAGGAGCAGGGTGCAAGCTGTCTGTGGATCTACCATTCTGGGGTCTGGAGGATGGTGGCCCTCTTCTCACAGCTCCACTAGGCAGTGCCTCAGTAGGGACTCTGTGTGGGGGCTCTGAACCTACATTTCCCTTCTGCACTGCCCTAGCAGAGGTTCTCCATGAGAGCCCTGCCCCTGAAGCAAACTTCTGCCTGGGCATCCAGGCATTTCCATACATCCTCTGAAATCCAGGTGGAGGTTCCCAAACCCCAATTCTTGACTTCTGTGCGCTGGCAGGCTCAACACCATGTGGAAGCTGCCAAGGCTTGAGGCTTGCATCCTTTGAAGCCACGGCCCAAGGTTTACATTGGCCCCTTTCAGCCACAGCTGGAGCAGCTGAGATGCAGGGCACCAAGGCTAGGTGCCCTAGGCTGCACACAGTGTGGGGAACCCTGGACCTGGCCCACGAAACCACTTTTTCCTCCTAGGCCTCTAGGCCTGTGATGGGAGGGGCTGCCATGAAGATCTCTGACATGCCCTGGAGACATTTTCCCCATTGTCTTGGGGATTAACATTCAGCTCCTCATTACTTATGCAAATTTATGCAGCCAGCTTGAATTTCTCCTCAGAGAATGTAATTTTCTTTTCTATTGCATTGTTAGGCTGCGAATTTTCCAAGCTTTTGTGCTCTGCTTCCCTTATAAAACTGAATGCCTTTAACAGCACCCAAGTCACATCTTGAATGCTTTGCTGCTTAGAAATTTCCTCCACCAGATACCCTAAATTATCTCTCTCAAGTTCAATGTTCCACAAATCTCTATGACAGGGGCAAAAGGCTGCTGGTCTCTTTGCTAAAACATAACAAAAGTCATCTTTGCTCCAGTTACCAACAAGGTCCTCATTTCCATCTGATACCAACTCAGCCTGGACCTTATTGTCCATATCACTATCAGCATTTTGAGCACAGCCATTCAACAAGTCTACAGGAAGTTTCAAACTTTCCCGCATTTTCCTGTCTTCTTCTGAGCCCTCCAAACTGTTCCTCTGCCTGTTACCCAGTTTCAAAGTTGCTTCCACATTTTTAGGTATCTTTTCAGCAGTGCCCGACTCTACTGGTACCAATTTATTGTATTACTCCATTTTCACACTGCTGACAAAGACATACCCAAAACTAGGCAATATACAAAACAAAGAGGTTTAACTGGACTCACAGTTACACATGGCTGGGGAGGCCTCACAATCATGGTGGAAGGCAAGGAGGAGCAAATCACATCTTACATGTATGCATGTATGCAGCAAGCAAAAAAAAGGGCTTGTGCAGAGAAGTTCCCTTTTTTTAAAACCATCAGATCTCATGAGACCCATTCACTATCATGAGAACAGCATGGGAAAGACCCGCCCCCATGATTCAATTATCTCCCACCAGGTCCCTCCCACAACACATGGGAATTATGGGAGCTACAAGATGAGATTTGGGTGGGGACACAGAGCCAAGCCATATCAGTTACCCTGAGAGAGAGAACATGCAGTTAGCTGACACTTAGAAGCTTTACTATCTTAGAACAAGAAAGCAAAGCCTCAAAATATACAATGGAAACTCTGAACGTACATTTTGTTTGATCTTTACAGAGTTCATTACTTGGTGCTTGCAGGCTACTTATTAAATGCCTACTTGACCATTATATTTAAGAAAGGGACCTCTGCTCCTTAGTACAGAAAGAATGTTGGACATTCTTTTCCTATTTATTTGCACTCTTTATAAGAATTTTAGAGTCACAGAAAAATTGCAAAGATATTATAGAGAGGTCCCACATATCCTGCACCCAATTTCTCCTATTATTAACACTTTATTTTATTGTACATTTGTCATAATTAATGAACCAATACTGATAATTTACTATTAGTTAAGTCCATACTTTATTCAAATTTTTCAGATTTTCTTAGTTTTAACCTAGTATCTTTTTTCTGCTCCAAGATCTCATCCAGGTACCATATTACATTGAGGTATCATGTCTCGTTAGGTTTCTCTTGACTGTGACAGTTTCTCAAACTTTTCTCATTTTAGGTAAAATTGACAGTTTTGAGAAGTAATAATCAGGTATTTTGTAGAGTTTTCAGGTGGGATTGTTCCCATATTTTTTCCATGATTAGAAGTAATGTGTTTTGAGGAGGAAGATCACAGAGATGAAGTCTCAGTCTCATCATATCATATCAAGGGTACATACTATCAGCATGACTTTTGCCTGCTGATGTTATCCCTGATTATCTGGTTGAAGTAGTGCTTGTCAGGTTTCTTCACTGTAGTTTCCCTCAGCCCCCTTTCCACATTGTTATTTTTAGAAAGAGTTCAGTACGCACATCTCACACTTAAGGAGTGGGGAATTATGCTCCACCTCCTTGATGGCTGAGTATCTATATGCATACGTTACTTGAAATTCTTCTACATAAGAGATTTGTTTCTTCTCCCTCAGTTATTTATTCCATCATATTTATTCAAGTATCAACTCACGGATATTTATCTTATACTTTGGGTTAAAATTCAGTAACTTTTTTTTTTTTGGCTAAAATTGTTCCAATTTTGGCCATTGGAAGTTCTTTCAGTTAGCTTCAATGTTCCTTTGATATACTCCCACCACTGTGGATCTTCTAAAATTTTAAAAAAATTTTGAGCATGTCTTTGCTTTCTGGCACTTTCTGCTTCAGGATCATTTTGTATATTACCTACTCTAGTCCTAGACTCAGCCATTTATCTAAAGAGCCCTGGTTTTTTTTCTTTCTTTTTTTTTTTTTTGTTTCAAAGCAGACTTTTGCTCTTGTTGCCCAGGCTGGAGTGCAATGGCACGATCTTGGCTCACTGCAATTTCTGCCTCCCAGGTACAAGCGATTCTCCTGCCTCAGCCTCCTGAGTAGCTGGGATTACAGGCACCTGCCACCTTGGCCGGCTAATTTTTGTTATTTTTAGTGGAGACGGGGTTTTGCCATGTTGGCCAGGCTGCTCTCGAACTCCTGACCTCAGGTAATCTGCCCACCTTGGCCTCCCAAAGTGCTGGAATTACAGGCATGAGACACCACCCCGGCCTGTATTTTTTTGTTTGTTTGAAAATGATATTAGAAACCAAGATCTAGGCTCTAGGTATGGTCATTGCAATTGGAGTGCTTCCTGTAGGCCCTCTCAGCTGACAAAGTGAGGAAATATTTGTATGTATACTAATGTATGTATGTGAACATATTTAAAATCTTTTAATATGTAACTGTATGTGCCTATATTAAGCTAGGCATGAGTTTATACAATGTCTCCAACCCTACCCCACTGCTGTGTGAGGCATTCCAATCTATAACCCTTGCTTATGTATAACCTCCTATTCTAAGAATGAGTAGGAGCCTGGTATAAACTGCTCCTTCGTGTTTAATTCTTGTGAAACTTTATTTTTACTTCTATTTTATCATTTATTTATCTTGTATTATAATTAATTTATGTTTGGTTTTCCCAATCAGACCATTAACTCCTTGAAGGTTTGGATGATGTCTTTAATTGCAGAATATTAAAGGTAAAAGGAATTTTAGAAATCTAGAGGAGAAAACAATACATACCATTTAGACCCTATAGGGATCTGAGTCTCAGCTCCCTGATGTACAGCCCAAAGTCCCTCTTACTATTCCTCTTCCTCTCACTCTTCCCCCCACCCCCAACCATTTCAAGATAGCTCTTCTTCTCACTCTTGATGAGAATGAGTAAAAATGCCACTGGTATCTCACCATTCCTTCACACTTTAATACACCCAGAAACCAAAGAATGGGTTAGTATACACTTAATTTTTACAATGTTAGGCACATGCAATCAACCATGAATAAGTAAATGAAAATGTTTATACTTTCACAAAGCAGATTTGATTTCCTCAAGTATTTAATTTCATATCAGAGGACAATGCTTAATCAATGTCTAATCAATACTCAAAGGTAGAAATGAACTACTTTAATTCATTTTATTTCAAGTATACAAAGGGCCACACAGGAAGTGGCAGATGGAGAAAGTCTGGGAATTAGGGTTCATGCCTTATGAACCTGGCAGACTTAAGTTAGCCAGATGTCAATGAGGAAACCAGATGCATACATTTGTCTGTGAGCCAGGATTAGTATAAAAACTGTACTCAGAGAGGAAATAGGAATGGGCTGTTTGCTGATCAAGTTCTCACTGAAGGTACACCACCAATTCCGCAGAAATTAAAAGCATGAGTTACAGAGCTGGAGAAACAATTCTGCTTCTGTCTATAAAAGCTTTTTTGGAACTGACTGAAAAATCAAGTAAGTAACTCCTTGAGAATTTTAGAGAGCATCTGTTGGCAGGAGAAACATTATCACAATCTTCACTATAGCTTAACATCCAGGGCAATAAAGATCAAAACCTCTCATTACACCATTTGGAGGAGTCTCCACTTCTCAGTTGGTTTAAAAGCCTAATACATTATAATAATCAATAAGAAAAACTTCAAGGTGAAATATGAAGGTTTCAAAGAATACTACTTCCTCCAAGTACCTATTTCTCTATTAGCAAGAAAAGCAGCAGCTAGAGGCAAAGAAAGACCAGTGGCTTCTTATGGGGAACCTGATTATGGCAGGAGGTCCTCTCTGGAGAGCAAGGAATAAATACACTCAATAGCACCTCCAGGATGGAAACCCCCAGGGAATAAGTCTGATACCTTAGAGTATTATGGCAAAAACCACAATTACTTTTGCACCAACCTAATAGCAGCAACTGGCCCTTCCTAATCGGCCAGGTACCATACCAAGGGCTTTACCTATATTGACTCATTTGATCTTCACTGCAACCCAACAAGATAGATATTGTTAACGATGAGAAAACTGAGGGATAGAGAGACTAAAACCCTTGCCCGAGGTCATACAACCTATAATATGGTGGGGCCAAGATTCAAACATAGGCAGTTTAACTCTGGAATCTGTACCTTTAACTATGCTAGCTCTACTGGGAAGGCACCTACCTCTCTGTGACTACTAAGTAAAAGCAAATCCACCCTTATCCCAGAGCAGGGAGTTAAAAAAACAGACTTTGCTTTTTATACTCTTTCTACAAAAAATTTTTTTAACAACAGTGAATGGATATAAAAGATAATTTATAAAATGCATAAGAAGTCCTGTCCTCACACCAGCAGAACTGGCATCAACAGTGAACTTGTTAGAAATGGAAATTGTTGGGCCCCATCCCAATCTACTACATTAGACACCCCACGGGGTGCCATCCAGCACTGTTTTAACAAGCCCTCTACTGATAAAATACTGGTATCATGAACACCTGTGTACTCACTGCTCCTGTTAGAAAAAAAACATTCTATCACCTCTGAAGTTCCTCTTCAATCCCGCATCCTTCTCTCTCAGGAACTCCTCAGAGGTAATCACTATCCTGAATTTTGTGGTTATCACTTGTTTTCCTCCATAACTTTCTCATGTTTTGAATCCACAATAAATATACTGTTTATATGTTATTAAATAGGCTATTATGCCTTTCTGAATAAGGTCCTTACAGCAGTTAAAAGGAAATACATTAAAAATTACCTTTTTATTTATAAAAATTTCAACTATTTCTCATATACACCATGGAATACCATGCAGCCATAAAAAAGGATGAGTTCATGTCCTTTGTAGGGACATGGATGAAGCTGGAAACCATCATTCTCAGCAAACTATCGCAAGAACAAAAAACCAAACACCGCATGTTCTCACTCATAGCTGGGAATTGAACAATGAGAACACTTGGACACAGGAAGGGGAACATCATACACCAGGGCCTGTTGTGGGGTGGGGGGAGGGGGGAGGGAAAGCATTAGGAGATATACCTAATATAAATGACGAGTTAACAGGTACAGCACACCAACATGGCACATGTATACATATGTAACAAACCTGCACGTTGTGCCCATGTACCCTAGAACTTAAAGTATAATTTAAAAAAAATTAAAGCTATTTCTTCTTTTACAACTTGTACATGTTTACTTTAATAGTCAATTAAAATAAAGACAAATAGCCTGTACGTGTATATACATGTAATTATAGCAATTTAGCAGAAACATTTATTTTTTCTCCTCCTTCCAGGTTTCTGTAACACTGAGGGCCTTTCTGTCCATTCACTCACCTTACTGGGAGAAGTAGTAACTTCTCTGGTCAGTGCATCTAGAACGACCTATGCATGAACATCTCAGTTCTGCCTCTTCCCTCCTTTGGACTAACCTCCTTGCAGAGAGCACACAATCTCTCCACCACAAGGCTCCACATTGACACTGATTTTAAAGGTCTTTCTAATTAAGGGTTCATGTTAATCACAAGTTGTAATGGGTTGAATGGTAGCCCCCACAAAGATATGTCCTTATTTTAATCCCCAGAACCTGTGAATGTTACCTTATTTGGAAAAAGGGTCTTTGCAGATGTAATTAAATTAAGGATTTTGAGATAAGGAGATTATCCTGGATTATCTGGGTGGGCCCTAAATCCAATGACAAATATCCTTATAGGACAAAGGCAGAGGGAGATTTAAGACAAACAGAAGAGAAGACAATAACGTGAAAAAGAAGCAGACAGGAGTGATGTGGTCCCATCCAGGCATGTTGGCAGCCAGAAGTTGGAAGAGGCAAACAATACATTCTTCCCTACAACCTCCAGAGCGAGTGCAGTTGTGCTGACATCTTGATTTCAGACTTCTGGCTTCCAAAACTGTGAGAATGAATTTCTGTTGTTTTAAGCCACCAAATTTGTGATATGCTACAGAAGCCACAGAAAACTAACACACAAGTCCACATGGCTCATAAATCTAAACCATGATCTCAAATTCAAGTTTGGTTGCTAAAAAGGTGGCACTTGTGTGTGTGTGTGTGTTTTTTTTTTTTTTTTTTTGAGACAGGGTCTCGAGCTGTCACCCAGGCTGGAGCACAGTGGCGTGATCTCGGCTCACTGCAACCTCTGCTTCCTGAGTTCAAGCGATTCTCCTGCCTCAGCCTTGTGAGTAGCTGGGATAACAGGTGCCGGCCACCACGCCTGGCTAATGTTTGTATTTTTGGTAGAGATGGGGTTTTGCCATGTTGGCCAGGCTGGTCTTGAACTCCTGACCTCAAATGATCCACCCACCTCGGCCTCCCAAAGTGCTGGGATTACAGGCATGAGACACCGCGTCCGCCGGCCCTTGTTTTTTTTGAGACAAGGTCTCGTTCTGTTGCCCAAGCTGAGTGCAGTGCCATAATCATGGCTCACTGCAGCCTTGAACTTCCAGGCTCAAGCAATCATCTGACCTCAGCCTCCAAAAGAGCTAGGACTACAGGCATGCACCACCAAGCCCGGCTAATTTTTTATTTTTTGTAGAGATGGGGATCCTCACTATGTTGCCCAGGCTGGTCCTGAATTCCTGGACTCAAGTAATCCTCCTGCCCCCTTGGCTTCCCAAAGTGCTGGTATTACAGGCAAAGGTGGCACTTTTATCCACACTACTTACATGTATACGCACATTAGATATTTATATTTATGCTATTCTACATTGTATGTCTATTTTTATCTATACCTGCTTTACATCTACATTTTTATTTGTTTTGATCTCAGCTAGGGAGATCTATGATATCCATTAGGCCTCCTAATGGCAATGAATAACATTCTTAGTTTACTCGAAATTGTTAAATAATTGAGAATGAGGGCAAATGGCAATGAATAACATTCTTAGTTTACTAACTTGAAATTGTTAAATAATTGAGAATGAAGGTTGACCTTTGTCAAATACTTTTTTGATATTAGGATGACTATGGTATTCCACCTTTGGATGACTGGTATGATGCATTGTATAATAACTGCACTGGGATCAGAGAGTAAGGGCTATGCAATTTCTGCCTTATGAAAATTATAGAAGTTTTTCCTATGAACAATTTTTGTAAATGTTTCACAAGCAATGGAAAAGATGTGTTCTGTTTGTTGGACAAAAAAATGTGTTTACAGCTGGGAGGACAATATGGCCTGGTGAGATGGAATACTCTACACCTGTTGTCCTGACATCAATACTACTCTCTTTGACTATCACAGCGTTCTGGTTATGCTCATCCTATTTAAAGGCAAGAGAGCAAGTGGTTAAAAGCATGGTCTATTAACCAGGCTGCTTAGGCACGTTCCTCCCCACTCTGTGCCTTGTTTCCTCATCTGTAAAAGAGAGAAAATAACAGCCCATGGTGAGTGCTCAATGAGTCCTTTATTATCTGTTACATCAACTTTATCCAAATTCTCTCTGTACTTATTTCTGTGTTCATATCTGTCAAGAAGCAAGTGAAAATATCTTTTTACTATACTTTTGTCTTTGCTTTTTATTTCTAGTAAGTTGACTATAACTTTGAGTCAACATTATCACATACGTTAAGGTCATGACAATTAGATCTTCACTATAAATTCCACCATGGACTGGCAAGAAATGACTCTTCTATCCCTGTGAAGAAAAAAAATGGGCTTTCTGGAACAGTAAAGAGCTGGAGGCAGAGACTCTTCCAAGGTCCCCCAGCTCTGGCTCTGCTTTCTCTTCCCAGCTAAGAAGGTGGGTATGTTAAAGCTGAATTTGGTCAGCGTTCCTTTAAACAGAAGTGCATGAACAGCATTCCTCCAGAATGGGGGTGTGAACGCTGAATTTAATGGGGTAGCAAAGAGCAACCCTCTACTTTGCAGAGATCAGGAAATCAGGGGCTGGTCCTGTTAGGGATTCTGAGGCTGAAGGAGTGGTGATGTCACATGCCATGTTTGTGCCAACCCTGAAAGGCCACTTTGCTTGCCATGAGATCATGTGTTCTTGGATGATAAAATAAGAAACTGAATTTAACCTTACAATAGGTGTATGTTCTCTTTCCATCAAACCCTGATACTCCTGACATGACACACCCATTTCATATCTTTCACCTTATACTTTATTTTTATCATTAATATTGTGACATTTGTTTTCATTGTTTGTATTTGATTATACTTAGCCTGTTTACTTTTAGTCTTTGTGAATCTCTTATTAATATCATATAGATGGATTTTGTTTGTTGACTATTTTGAGACTTTTTTTTTTTTTACTATTTTGAGTTTTTTTTTGTTTGTTTTTTGTTTTTTTGAGATGGAGTCTCTCTCTGTCATTCAGGTTGGAGTGCAGTGGCATGATCTCGGCTACTGCAATCTCTGCCTCCCAGGTTCAAGTGATTATCTTGCTTCAGCCTCCTGAGTATTTGAGACTACAGGCATGCGCCACTATGCTGAACTAATTTTTGTATTTTTAGTAGAGAGGGGGTTTCACCATGTTGGCCAGGCTGGTCTGGAACTCCTGACCTCAGATCATCTGCCTGTCTCGGCCTCCCAAAGTTCTGGGATTACAGATGTGAGCCACTGCGCCTGGCCAAGAATTTATATCTTACATATTTTTTCATCCTATTTATGTTTACTGTTGTAACTGATATGGATAGGCTTTCTCCTATGCTTTGCTCTTGGCTTCTGATTTTTAAATGCTATTTTACAGCAGCTTTTGAACTATATGGTTTGTTCTTACCTGTACCTTTGTGGGGAATAATTATACATCCTGCATTTATTTCTATGAGGGGTTACCTTTAGATTAGAAATGTCCAAATTTTTCCTATAGTTTGCCTTTAAAACAAAAAGAACGCCTAAATTTTAACTAATAGAAATACTAATGCTATTTTTGATCTAATTTATGCCTATATTATTGGTTAACAAGAAGTATGATAGCCCAACAGCAATAAAAACTAAATGCTGATCATAAAGAATAACATTTTAAAAGTAACATGTTCTGTAGAGCCTGTGATATGGTATCTATCTCTAGCATTTTTGGTTATTGTTTCTTTGTTTTGAATCATCACAGATTAAACAAAAAATTAATTTTGAAATCAAACTATGATTACTAGCATTATCTTACTCTTCCAAGAAATGTTATCAACTTGCTGAGTCACCTGCTTAACCAGGGTGTGACCATATCCTCCTCTGTAAAATGATAAAGCCTGACTGATTACAAAGGGTTAGTATGAGGTTTCAAACTGATTATATATCCAGAAGGGCCCTGAAAGTAGACAGAGTACTAAACAAATGTATACTGGCATTATTATTAAAACAGGTAGTAATTAAGATATTATTGATGGAATTAGGTAGGATTTGTAGTTTAAATGTAAAAGTGGAACTTACCAATGACCAAGAATCACTAGGAAAAAAAGACAAACCATTTTAGATGGCATGCAGCATGCCCATTATTTGAGTACACCTCATTTTCCGAACCACCAGTTGTATAATTTATTTTTTTCATCTCTTTCTTATTTGATTCACTAGTTCATAGGGGTTCTCTTTTTCTGTCTTAGATTGCCTTATTAAGTCAGCTAACAAAGCTGACTTAACAAAAGGTAACAAAGTTGAAGGTAGCAGACCTTATTAAGACTCTATGTTTGCCTACTCTTTCAGCAACCACTTTTTTTTTTTGAGACGGAGTCTCGCTCTGTTGCCCAGGCTGGAGTGCAGTGGAGCGATCTCAGCTCACTGCAAGCTCCGCCTCCTGAGTTCATGCCATTCTCCTGCCTCAGCCTCCCCAGTAGCTGGGACTACAGGCACCCGCCACCACGCTTGGCTAATTTTTTTTTTTTTTTTATTTTTTAGTAGAGACGGGGTTTCACCATGTTAGCCAGAACAGTCTTGATCTCCTGACCTCGTGGTCTGCCTGCCTTCGGCCTCCCAAAGTGCTAGGATTACAGGCGTGAGCCACCACGCCTGGCCAGCAACCATTCTTTCATGCCATTCTTTTTGGAGGAGGAGCAGAAGAAAAAAAGAAAGGAAGAGAATACAGATTTGTTTTCCAATCCTACGGCAGAAAATACTTGGGACCTAAGGTACCAACACTGGAATCTGTGTTAAAGACTCCTGTTGTTAATTTCTCACTCCTGCATAAACAAGAGTCACCCTGAACTCACTTTCTTCACTCTGGCTCATTATTTAATGAATTATGTTTTGCAGCAGAAATAATATACAAACAAATCCAATTGTGTACTGAGGCTACAGATAGTGGCAACTGAAAGTCAAAATAGAGCAGTTCTATGGTCACAGACTTATTTGAGTCTTCCTCGTATGACTTAGCAGACATTTGTTGCACATGTTCAAACAATGCATGTCTGAACACTGTTTGATAATGGACATGGCAGATAATGGTCCTGGATAGATGAAGATCCATGGAAAATGGGAAGGTCTAGACAAGGAGAGAGAAATTTGAGCACTTCCTTACCTGACTTATAAGTAGGAAGCAGTACTTTCATTTAAAGTTATTATATACAAAGACCAGAACCTTCTTTTCTCTGTACCAAAAGGAGGATGGCCCCCACTCCCATCTATACCCCTGGAAGCATACCTATAGATCTTGATCTCACTGCAAATCTTAAAGTAGCCTGCAAATCCAATTCTAGCCCCTCCCAACTGCAGTGCAGGAGAAGTCCTACCCATCCAGGGACCTGCTGGGAGATACATCTGTCTATACCTCTGGAGGCAGACCTGCAGACCTCAGTCTGACTGAAGATTTTAAAGGGGCCTTGTAACCTGGCTCCAGCTTTTCCCAGCCACAGTCCAGGCATAGTTCTGCCCACTCAGGATCCACTGAGAAACATGACCATCTGTGTCTCTGGAGGCAGACCTGCAGACCTTTGTCTGACTGTGGATCTTGAAATGGCCCTGTAACCCAGATCCAGTCCCTCCTAGCCACAGTCTGAGTGGTCTTGCATTCCCAGTAACTCAAGAGAGACACACCTGTCTAGAGGCAGGACCACTAAACTTAGTCTGACTTTGGATCTTAAAGTGGCCTGATAACCTGCCTCTAGCCCCTCTCAGCCATGGTCTAGGAGCAGTCCCGCCCACCCAGGGACCCAAGGGAGAAACACCTATCTGTGCCACTGGAGGCAAGCCTGAAGACCTTGGTCCCTGAAGCAGCCCTGTGTCTCATTTCAAGCATGACTCAGCTGAGGTCTGGGGCTAGTCCTGCCTGCCCAGGAACCCACCCAGTGACCTGGCAGGAGCATTCTCAGGGAATCAGTGGGAGCCACAACAGTCTGTACATCTGTAACTGGCCTGCCACTTGAGCAACCAACTGGGGCACCTTGCCTCAGCTCTATTGACCAAGGTCCTGAAGGCAGTCCAGGCTACTCAGGGACCTGACAGGATCCACACTCACCTGAACTCCTGGAAAGAGGCCCACCAACTTCAGACTCCATTGTGAAACCAACAGAAGTCATATGACCTGATTTCAACCTTGCCCAAATGTGATATGAGAAGTATTCCCATTAGTCTGGGGACATAAGAGAAACTCCTTACCTGCCAAAACCAGTCTTGCTTTTTCACAGGCACTGACATTAACACAAAGCGACCTGGATCATGAAGAATCATGCAAACATGACACCACCAAAAGCAACCGATGAAGCTCCAATAAATGACCCTAAAGAAGTGGAGATCTATGAATTTCTTAATGAAGAGTTCAAAATAATCATCTTAAAGAAGCTTAATGAGATGCAAGAGAACAGATAGATAACTAAAAGAAATCAGGAAATAATGCATGAACAAAATGAGAAGTTATTTATTTATTTATTTATTTATTTATTTTTGAGACAAGAGTCTTGCTCTGTGGCCCAGGCTGGATGTGAGTGGCATGATCTCAGCTCACTGCAACCTTCGCCTCCTGCGTTCAAGTGATTCTCATGCCTCAGCCTGCCAAGTAGCTGGGATTATAGGCACAAACCACCACACCTGGCTAATTTTTGTATTTTTTAAATTTTTTTTTAGTAGAGACAGAGTTTTGCCATGTTGGCCAGGATGGTCTTGAACTCCTGACCTCATGTGATCCGCCTAACCTCAGCCTCCCAAAGTGCTGGGATTACAGGGGTGAGCCACCATGCCCAGCCAAGAAGTTTAACAATGAAATAGAAACCATCAAAGGAACTAAAAAGATATACTGGAACTGACAAATACAATGATAGAATTGAAAAATTCAACAGAAAGCTTCGACAGCAGACTCAATCATGCAGAATAAAGAATTAGTGAACTCAAAGACAGGTCATTTGAAATTAGCCAGTTAGAGACACAAAAAGAGAAAAGAGTGAATAAAGCATATGAGACTTACGGGGCACTATGAAGATAACAAATATAAGCATTATATTTGTCCCAGAAGGAGGAAAGAAAAGGGGGAAAAATTTAAAGAAATATTGGCTGAAAATGTTCTAAATCATAGGAGAGATAAGGACATCCAGATTCATGAAGCTCAAAGGATCACAAGCAAGATCAACCCAAAGAATATGATCTTGTCAAAGTGTCAAGAGTAAAAGACAAAGATAATTTTGAAAGCAGTAAGATATAAGCAACTTGTCCCATACAAGGGAATCTCTATTAGAATATCAGAAGATTTCTCAGCAGAAACCTTGCAAACAAGAAAGTGGTATGATATATTCAGTGCTTAAAAAAAATCCCAAGAATACTTTTCCCAGCAAAGCTGCACTTCAGAAAGTAAGAAAATATAAAGATAATCTTGATGAACAAAAGCTGAGGAGGCTCATCAACACTAGACCTGCCTTTTCAGAAATACTAAAGGGAGTTCTTCAAGCTGAAATACAAGAACACTAATTAGTAACATGAAAGTATGTGAGAGTATGTAACTCAGCTGGGCACGGTGGCTTATGCCTGTAATCCTAGCACTTTGGGAGGCTGAGGCAGGCAGATCACTTGAGCCCAGGAGTTTGAGATCAGTCTGGGCAACATGGTATATGACCCAGTCTCTACAAAAAATACAACAATTAGTTGGGTGTGGTGGTATGTGCCTGTAGTCCCAGTTATTCAGTAGGCTGAGATGGGTGGATCACTTGAACCCAGGAGGTCAAGGCTTCAGTGAGCCACGATTGTACCACTGTGCTCCAGCCTGGGTGACAGGGTAAGACTATGTCTAAAAAGAAAAAAGAAAGAAAGTATAAACTCACTGGTAAAGGTAAGTATACAGTCAAAATCAGAATACTGTGATGATATAAATCACTTATATCACTAATATATAGTTTAAGAGACAAAAATATTAAGAATAGTTATTGCTACAATAATTTGTTAATGGTTACAACATGTAAATATGTAAACAGTGACATAAAAATATAAACTGGGTGGGGTAACTAAAAGTGTAGAGTTTTCACACACAATTGCTATTGTATCAACTTAAATTGTCATAACAAAAAATTATAAAATGTTTTATGTAACCTCATAGTAGGCACAGAGAAAAACCCCCAGTAGTTACACAGAAGGTGAAGACAAAAAATGAAAATGAAAGTATACCAGTATAAAAATTAAACAAATTCCAAAGAAAGACAAGCAAGAGAGGAAGGAAAAAACAAGACAAAACTACCAAACTACCAAAAAATCATAAAACTACCAAAAAAATCATAGAACAGTGAACAAAATGGCAAAAGTAACTTCTTACCTATCAATTACTTCATGTGGAATTGGACCAAATTCTCCATTCTAAAGACAGAGTAACTGAATGCATAAAAATGCAAGATCCATCAATATGCTGCCTATAAGAGACTCACCTTAGCTTCAAAAGTGAAGTGATGAAAAAAGATATTCCAGCTGGGCGTGGTAGCTCATGCCTGTAATCCCAGCACTTTGGGAGGCCAAGGCGGGCAGATGACGAGGTCAGGAGATGGAGACCATCCTGGCTAACATGGTGAAACCCCATCTCTCACTAAAAATACAAAAAATTAGCCAGGCATGGTGGCCCATGCCTGTAGTCCCAGCAACTCGGGAGGCTGAGGCAGGATAATTGCTGGAACCCGGGAGGCGGAGGTTGCAGTGAGTCGAGATTGTGCCACTGCACTCCAGCTTGGGTGAGAGAGCAAGACTATGTCTCAAAAAAAAAAAAAAGAAACGATATTCCATTCAAATATAACCAAAAGAGAGTAGGAGTGGCAATACTTAAATTAGACAAAATAGATATTCAAAATCTGTCACAAGACAAATATGGACTCTCTGTAATGATAAAGAGTGAATTCATCCAAGTATATAACAGTTGTAAATATATTTGCACCCAAAATTAGAGCATCTAAATATATAAAGCAAATATTAATAGTTCTACAGGAAGAGATATAGTACAATACAATAACAGTAGGGAACTTCAATACTTCACTTTGAAAAGCTAAGAGATCATCCAAACAGAAAATCAATAATGAAATAGCAGACTTGAGTAACAGTGTAAACCAAGTGGATCTAACAGACATATACAGAGCAACAGAGTACACATTCCTCTCAAGCACACATGCAACATTTTCCGGGATACAGCAATACAGCATTTATTAGGCCACAAAACAAGTCTTTTTTTTTTTTTTTTTGAGATGGAGTCTCGCTCTGTCGCCCAGGCTGGAGTGCAGTGGCAAGATCTCGGCTCACTGCAAGCTCTGCCTCCCGGGTTCATGCCATCTCCTGCCTCAGCCCCCTGAGTAGCTGGGACTACAGGTGCCCACCACCACACTCCGCTAATTTTTCTGTATTTTTAGTAGAGACGGGATTTCACCGTGTTAGCCAGGATGGTCGTGATCTCATGACCTCGTGATCTGCCCGCCTTGGCCTCCCAAAGTGCTGAGATTACAGGTGTGAGCCACCGCACCTGGCCCACAAAACAAATCTTAACAAATTTAAGAAGAATGAAATCTCAACTATTTTTTCTGACCACAATGGTATGAAACCAGACATCAGTAACGAGGAAAACTGAAAATTTCACAAATATGTGGAAATTAAACAACACTCTCTTGAACAACTAATGGGTCAAAGAAGGAAATTCATAATATACCTTGAGATAAATGAAAATGAAAACAAAACCTATCAAGACTTAAGGCATGCAGAAAAAGCAGTTCTCAGAGAAACATTTACAGTAATAAATGCCTACCTGCAGAAAAAAGATCTCAAATAATGTAATGTTATATCTCAAGGAACTAAAAAATAGCAAACTAAGCTCAAAGTTAACAAAAGGAAGAAAATAATGAAAGTTAGGGCAAAAATAAATGAAATAGAGACGAGAAAGACAACAGAAAAGATAAACATCGTTAACAGTTGGTTTCTTGGAAAGCTAAATTAAATTGACAAATCTTTTTTTTTTTTTTTTTTTTGAGATGGAGTCTTGCTCTGTGGCCAGGCTGGAGTGCAGTGGCACAATCTTGGCTCACTGCAATCTCTGCCTCCTGGGTTCAAGCCATTCTCCTGCCTCAGCCTCCCGAGTAGCTGGGATTACAGGTGTGTGCTACCATACCCAGCTAATTTTTGTATTTTTAGTAGAGATGGGGTTTCACCATGTTGGCCAGGATGGTCCTGATCTCCTGATCTCATGATCCGCCCGCCTTCGCCTCCCAAAGCGCTGGGATTACAGGCGTGAGCCACCGCGCCCGGCTGACAAATCTTTAGTTGAATTAACCAAGAACACAAAGAGAGAAGACTCAAATAAATAAAATTATAAATGAAAGAGGAAACATTACAACTGATACTACAGAAACACAAAGTTATCATAACAAACTTCTATGTACAATTATATGTTAAGAAATTAGATAACCTAAGAAAATGGATAAATTCCTAGAAACATACAACTTACCAAGATTGAATCATAAAGAATAAAAAAAAATCAATAATAAGAATACAGAAGCAGTAATCAAAAATCTCCCAACAAAGAAATGCCCAGGACCAAAAGGCTTCATGGGTGAAGTCTACTAAACATTTGAAAAATAATTAATGTCAATCCTTCTCAAACTCCCCCGCAAAAAAAAATGAAGTGAAGGGATCATTTTCAAACCCATTTTACAATGCCAACATTATCCTGATAGTAAAGTCAGATAAAAAGACTATAGGTTGAGTAACCCTTATCTAAAATGCTTGGGACTAGAATTGTTTCAGATTTTTAATTTTTTCAGATGTTGGAATATTTGCATTATACTTACTGGTTGAACATTCCTAATCTGAAAATCTGAAACCCAATATGTCCAATGAACATTTTCTTTTGAGAATCATATCAGCACTAAAAAATTTCAGATTTTGGAGCATTTCAGATTTTAGATATTAAACCCATAAAAAAAAGAAAATTACAAGTCTGATGAACACAGATGCAAAATTTCTGATGAACACAGATGCAGAACTTCTCAACAAAATACTAGCAAACCACATCCAATAACACACTGAAAGGATCATATACCACAATCAAGTGAGATTCATCCCTGGGATAGCACGATGGTTAAACATACATGAATCAATAAATGTGACGTACCACATTAAGAAAATGAAGGATACAAATAATATGACCATTTCTTTTTTTTTTTTTAACTTTTATTTTAGGTTCAGGGGTAAATGTGCAGATTTGCTATATAGGTAAACTCGTATCATAAGGGTTGGCTGTACAGATTATTTCATTACCCAGGTACTAGGCCTAGTACCCAATAGTTATTTTTTCTACTCATCTCCCTCGTCCCACCCTCATCCTCAGGTGGGCCCCGGTGTCTGCTGTTCCCCTCTTTGTGTCCATGTGTTCTCACCACTTAGCTCCCACATATAAGTGAGAACATGTGGTATTTGGTTTTCTGTCTCTGAGTTAGTTTGCTAAGATTGATGGCCTCCACCTCCACCCACGTTCCTGCAAAGGACAGGATCTTTTTCTTTTTTATGATTGCATAGTATTCCATGGTGTATATGTGCCACATTTTCTTTATGCAGTCTACCATTGATGGGCATTTAGGATGATTACATGTCTTTGCTATTGTGAATAGTGCTACAATGAACATACATGTGCATGTGTCTTTATGATAGAAAAATTCATATTTCTTTGGGTATATATCCAGTAATGGAATTGCTGGGTCAAATGGTAGTTCTGCTTTTAGGTTTTTGAGGAATCAACATACTGCTTTCCACAATGGTTGAACTAATTTATACTCACACCAACAGTGTATAAGTGTTCCCTCTTCTCTGCAACTTCACCAGCATCTGTTATTTTTTTACTTTTTAATGATAGCCACTCTGACTGGTGTGAGATGGTATCTCATTGTGATTTTGGTTGGCATTTCTCTAATGATCAGTGATGTTTAGCTTTTTTTCATATGCTTGTTGGCCACATGTATGTCTTCTTTTGAAGGTGTCTATACATGTCCTTTGCCCAGTTTTTAATGGCATTCCTTTTTCTTGTAAATTTGTTTAAGTTCCTTATCAATGCTAGATATTGGACCTTTGTCAGATGCATAGTTTGCAAATATTTTCTCCTATTTCTATAGGTTCTCTGTTTACTCTGTTGATAGTGTCTTTTTCCATGCAGACTCTCTAGTTTAATTAGATCCCATTTGTCAATTTTCGCATTTGTTGCGATGGCTTTTGTCATTTTCATCATGAAATCTTTGCCCATTCCTATGTCTAGAATGGTATTGCCTAGGTTGTCTACCAGAGTTTTTATAGTTTCGGGTTTCATGCTTAAGTCTTTAATCCATCTTGAGTTGATTTTTGTATATGGTGTAAGGAAGGGGTCCAATTTCAATCTTATACTTATTGCTAGAAAGTTATCCCAGTGTCATTTATTGAATAGGGAGTCCTTTCCCCATTGCTTGCTTTCGTCAGCTTTGTTGAAGATCAGATTGTTGTAGGCATGCTGCCTTATTTCTGGGCTCTGTATTCTGTTCTATTTGTCTATGTGTCTGTTTTTGTACCAGTACCATGCTGTTTTGGTTACTGCAGTCCTGTAGTATAGCTTGAAGTCAGGTAGCATGATGCCTCCAGCTTTGCTCTTTTTGCTTAGGATTGCCTTAGCCATTCGGGCTCTTTTTTGGTTCCATGTGAGTTTTAAAATAGTTTTTTCTAGTTCTGTGAAGAATGTCACTAGTAGTTTGATAGTGCATAGCACTGAGTGACCATTTCAACAGATGTAGAAAAAGTGTTTGACAAAATTTAACATCCTTTCATGATGAAAACTCTCAATAAATTAGATATATAAGAAATAAAGGCCATTTACCATGAGCCCACAGCTAATATCATATTCAATAGTGAAAAGCTAAAAGCCTTTTTTCTAGGATCAGAAACATGACAAAGATGTCCACTCTCATCACTTTTGTTCAACACAGTACTAGAAGTTCTAGCCAGAGCAATCAGGCAAACAAAAATTAGACACATCCAGACTGGAAGTGAAGGAGTTCAACTGTCTCTGTTTGCAGATGACATGACCTTATATACATATAAAAAGCCTAAAGATTCAATCAAAAAACTGTTAGAATAAAATTCGGTAAAGTAGCAGGAGACAAAATCAACATAAAAAATCAGCAATATTTCTATATACTAATGACAAGCTCTCCAAAAAAGTTAAGAAAACAATGTCATTTATGATAGCATCAAAAATATATAATATTTAGGAATAATTTAACCAAGAAAGTGAATGATCTATTTACTGAAAATTATAAAACACTGATGAAAGAAATTGAAAAAGACACAAATAAATGAAAAAAAATCCAGTGTTCATAAATTGGAAGAATTAATATTTTCAAAATATCCATATAATACCAAAAGTGATCTACAGATTCAAGGCAGCCTGTATCAATATTCCAAATGACATTTTTCACAGGAATAGAAAGGAACAATCCTGAAATTTGTATGGAACCACAAAAGTCTCTGAATACCCAAAGCAATCTTGTGAAATAAGGACAAAGCTAGGGGCATCACACTTCCTGATTTCAAATAATGTTGTAAAGTTACAGTAATCAAAATAATATGGTAATGCCATAAAAACAGACACATAGACCAATGGAACAGAATACAGATCCCAGAAATAAACTCAGTGAACTAGTCTTTGACAAGGGTACCAAGAATACACAATGGGGAAAGGACAGTTTTCAATAAGTGATGCTGGGAAAACTGTACATCCACATATAAAAGGATGAAATAGGACCTTATCTGACATAAAACACAAAAACTAACTCGAAAGAGATTAAATGCTTAAATATAAGACCTAAAACTGTAAAACTAGGAGAAAACAGAAATAAAAGCTCCTTGACATTGGGTCTTAGCAGTGATTTTTTGAGATATGACAACAGATACACAGGCAAGCCAAAATAAATAAATGGAACTATATCAAACTAAAAACCTTCTTCACAGCAAAGGAAACAATCAACAAAACAAAAAGGCAATCTATGGAATGAGAAGAAATATTTGTAAACCATATATCTGATAGGGGATTAATATCTAAAACTATATAAAGAACTCATATAACTGAATTGCATAAAAACAAATAACTCAATTACAAAACAGGCAAAAAGGCCTGAAAGACGTTTTCCCAAAGAAGACACACAAATGGCCAACAGGTATATGAAAAGGTACTCAATATCACCAACCATCAGGAAAATACAAATCAAAAAGAAAATGAGATATCACCTCACATCTCTTAGGATGGCTGTAATCACAAAACAAGAGATAACAAGTGATGACAAGAGTGTGAAGACAAGGGAACTGTTGAACACTGTTGATGGAAATGTAAATTGGTGCAGCCATTATGGTATGGCAGTTCCTCAAAAAATTAAAAATAGAACAACTATTTGATCCAGCAATCGCACTTCTGGTATATCCCAAAGAAAAAGAAATCACTATCTTGAAGAGATATCTGCACTCCCAGGTTTATTGCAGTATTATATACACTAGCCATGATATGGAAACAAGCAGCCATCAACAGATGAATAATAAAGAATATACATAGGCCAGGCATGGTGACTCATGCCTATAATCCCAGCACTTTGGGAGGCTGAGGCAGGCGGATCATCTGAGGTCAGGAGTTCGAGACCAGCCTGGCCAACATGGTGAAACCTCATCTCTACCAAAAATACAAATATTAGCTGGGCATGGTGGTGGGCACCTGTAATACCAGCTACTCGGGAGGCTGAGGCAGGAGAATTGCTTGAACCCGGGAAGTGGAGGTTGCAGTGAGCTGAGATTGCGCCATTGCATTCCAGCCTGGGTGACAAGTGTGAGACTCTGTCTCAAAAAAAAAAAAAAAAGAATATATATACATATAGTTCTTTGAATAAAAATAATATATATAATTATACATAATAAAGAATATATAATTACAATGGGAAGTGACGGATGAATGAGGAATTATATATTTTCTTTATTATTCATCTGTCAATTCCCAATGTAATTATATTTACTTGAGATGGCCACTGAGATAAATACATCTATTTTATCTTTTGAAATATAATAAATAATGGTATAGAATTAAAAATTATGTATCAATTATACATATAACAGATTATTCATCCATAATAAAAAAGGGAATCCTGCTTTTGTGACAACATGGACAAGCCTAGGGGGCACTGTGCTAAGCAAAATAAGTCAGATATGGAAGACAAATACTACATAATCTCTCACTAATATGAGGAATCTAAAAAAGTCATTCATAGAAGCAGAGAGTAGAACGGTGGTTGCCAGGGGCTAGAGGATAGTGGAAAAGAGGAGGTAATGGAGAAATGTTCATCTCAGGACACAAACTTTCAGTTGTAAGATAAATAACTTCTGGAGATTTATGTACAGCATGGTAGCTATAGTTAATAACGCTATATTGTATATTTGCTAAAATGGTAAACATTAGGTGTTCTTACCACAAGAAAAGTAAATATGTCAAGTGATGAATATGTTCCTTAGCTTGAATGTGGTAATCATCCGACAATGTTTATGTATATCAAATCATCATGTTGTACAATTTAAATGTGCACAATTTTTTATTTGTCAATTATAACTCAATAAGGCTAGGGGATAAAAAGAGGATGGCCCAATGGGCCTTCACCCATTTCAGAATGTGCTTCCATTTAAGAATGACTCCTGGCCAGGCGTGGTGGCTCACGCCTGTAACCCCATCACTTTGGGAGGCTGAGTACGAGGTTAGGAGATCAAGACCATCCTAGCCAACATGGTGAAACCCCATCTCTACCAAAAATACAAAAATTAGCCGGGCGTGGCAGCGAGTGCCTGTAGTCCCAGCTACTCGGGAGGCTGAGAGAGGAGAATGGCTTGAATCTGGGAGGCGGAGGCTGCAGTGAGGTGAGATTGCGCCACTGCACTCCAGCCTTGGCAGAGTGAGACTCCGTCTCAAAAAAAAAAAAAAAAAAAGGCTCCTAAACAAGTACTCTTAAGACAGTTTCGTGGATAGGATGGTTATGAAGCAAAGAACCCAAAGACAGTATTCTCAAAAAATGCCTGAATAGGCCTAGTGTCTATCCCAAATATGAGGAGCAGTTCCCTTCCAGTCATCACTCACAGAAGAGGTTGCCACCTAATATTGCTTTAATTAAAAGAAGTTTATTTCTTTACATTTTTAATTTTTGTGGGTACATAGTAGGTGTATGCCACTTGATATTTCTGGCCTCAAAAAGCCTTTCATGATATGGGGCATTCTCTGACTCTCCTCCTTTTTTTTTTTTTTTTTTGAGACGGAGTCTCGCTCTGTCACCTAGGCTGGAGTGCAGTGGCGCCATCTCAGCTCACTACAAGTTCTGCCTCCCGGGTTCACGCCATTCTCCTGCCTCGGCCTTCCCAAGTAGCTGGGACTACAGGTGCCCACCATCATGGCTGGCTAATTTTTTTGTATTTTTACTAGAGACGGGGTTTCACCGTGTTAGCCAGGATGGTCTCAATCTCCTGACCTCATGATCCGCCTGCCTCAGCCTCCCAAAGTGCTGGGATTACAGGCGTGAGCCACCGCGCCCGGCCTGAATCTCTTTATTTTGAACATCACAGCACTGTTCGGGTAAGTTATGTTAATCTGAAATTACCTCAATCAATGGGAGTTTTTAGATGCTTATGAAGGTTATCTGGCAGAATTGGTTAAAAGACATTTTTTTAAAAAAGAGCAAAGCTACACAGATTTAGTAATTATGGTTGGGGTATGATCACCAAATTGACGTGTTAAATGCTATTGTAAAAATCACCATAAAAGTAGCATAGTAAGTGGCGGTATCATCTTGTGCCTCAAGATGAATTTCCAGTGTGAAAGCATCATGAAAGTGTCAAAGAATGATGCATTAAAGCCAATCTGGTGGGAGTAAAAATAATGTGCCTTGGAAAACTGTATCAGATAATTCAGAAAGTGGCTTAAGTGAAGACAAAGACCCGATGACATGGCTGCATATGAATAATTTAAATAAATTTTTTCATAAAATTTGAGAGCCAAGAATGAGCAATATATCTCAATTTTACATAATATGTGATTGAGTACATAATTTGTAATACATATTTTATAATATAAAATATACTGTAATCCAAATTAAAAATTTAATATTCAAAATATGTATTTATCTGTTTCATTAAGGTTGGCCTAAATATATTTGGACATTTTTCATTGTAAAACTGGACAGTGATCATCACATATTCAAAGCCATCTTGTATTTGGTTACGTGCATTATTTATGGACACCCACCCCCTCCAATGTTGGCTTTAGCTCCTGGCACTCCTCTCCTTTTGGGTTCTAAGTACAGCATGCCCTGTGCCTGCTTGTGACCCCTTGTCCTTCGGGTCAAGAAAAATATGGTATCTATATCAGACTGAAATGTACATATGGTTATTTATTTGTGAGTTTTAAGGCTTTTGACTCATTAGGAAGTGACTTAGTTTTCATGCCTCAGCTTCTTATTGCAATTTTTTTTTTTTTTGCTATTTTCTTAAAAGGATGTGTGGTGCCTTCCCATACACAAGTGAAAACATTATACAGCAGAATAGTGGCCTTGGCAGAGACAGACAGGAGTTTCTACCTTCTCTGGCTAAGGCTGACTATGAACAATGAAAGAAATGATAAGAATGTGAACAACTAATCGGATATTTGCCAACTCATTCATTAAAACTGTGTAAGAGGTTTTCATCTTTGTAAAATCCCATCCTAGCAAAGGCTAAAGAACTATCAATAGCAATTAGTAAACTCTTTAAGCTTCCAATTCAATCTAACCAACAAAAATGTTGCCTGAAACTTACTGGAAAATATTGCTTCTCCTGAGGGCTAGATTCACTGTGCTGATGTGGATTAAAATGACTAATCCTAGAATAATTCTATATTGCACACAAAATCAATTTCACAAACATGCATTTGATAGTCTGCTTGAAAGTCTGTTAACATTTTCAAGTGGAAAAATTATTGTACATTTTAACTCTATTAATCCTTCAAAAGAAAATTTGAAAAAAAATCTTCTCTATAAACATATTTTTTTCATCTTTTTAGAACTACTTTATTAGACACAGACCATCCATAAGAAGGAACTAAGAAAAATACATACATGAATCCTGTTTCTTGCAGAAAGCTGTTGCTTTAGAAGCAATTAGGCCAATTAAGCCTGACAGCATGATTTCAGGAGGAATGCTGTGCAAGCTCCTATCTGTAATGAAAATTTGCACCAAAACAAGGAAGGCATAATACATGCAAAGAGATAACAATTCTGGAGTGCTATCTATAAATCCCTTGCCCTTGGAAGGAATACAGTGGAGTAAGATGATAATGATGATGATTTTGGATTTCTCTTTAGTCCTTTTCAAAGGGAGGAAGGCATATAAACAAGCAGGTTCCACCACCCATCAATTTGGGGATTTGGTAAATGGAGAAAGCCTGTGACTGATGCATGGAAGGAGGAGAAAACCAGCCAAAATTTTCTTTGTAAGTTATGATTCCAAAGGAAGATCCTCATCCCATAAAGTATACAACTCTGAAAGGAACAAAGCTTAAGGGAAAATAGGTAATGAGGAGATTGGGTTTTTATTTTGAAATTAATCAAATGTGGCTTAACAGAAATTGTGAATTAAGCTTATTTCATGCCCAAGTCAGACAGAGCAACAGATAATACAGAAAAATATCTATACGATATTATGGTGAAGATACATTAACATGGTGATTGGAAGTATTTTATTTAATTTGGATAAACAATATTGGGTTTTTAAACTGAAAGATGAGTTTTTAAAAATTCTCACAGTTTTAAATATACTTGCTTTAAAAACTTACTAAACTCACCACTGATCATTTTTTTAGCACTACAATTTGTGTCTAACTATATGAGCAAAGATAGAGTATATGACTGAATTCTGCATTTATTTTCATTATTGTGTTTTTCCTATTGTTTAACAAGTTAGAAGGAGATGGACTGCTTATCTAAGACAATATCCTTTGGTTGAAGAACACTAAAAATAATGCCATGCCTGGTTGGATGTGACTTATCGATCTCCAGTGGCACAAGTGAAGAATAATATCTTAGCTCCTCAGAAAAATGGGCTATCTTTCAAAGATAGAGAAATTCGACTCATGATCATTCTTTTAAACAATCTTGATCATTAGCCAGCTCAGTTATAATAACTGGTGGGCAAGCATTAGACATGCAAGACTCTCATAGCCAAGACACATGAGAAGCATATTGTTAGCTTTTCTGCAAATATATAAGATTGGTTAATTCTGGAGAAAAAAGAAAATGTGTACTACCAGATTTTCACTTTGGGATAGAAGGTCCCAAATGAAGCTGTTTCAGAATTACCTGGGAAGCTTATTAAAAATAATGCTGCCTGGGCCCCACCCCAAATCTTAGATCAATCTTCCGCATTTTATTTTTTTGTTCTTTTTTTCTTTCTTTTTTTTTTTTGAGACGGAGTCTCACTCTGTTGCCCAGGCTGGAGTGCAGTGGCATGATCTCAGCTCACTGCAAGCTCCGCCTCCCAGGTTCACGCCATTCTCCTGCCTCAGCCTCCCGAGTAGCTGGGACTATAGGCGTCCGCCACCACACCCAGCTAATTTTTTGTATTTTTAGTAGAGACAGGGTTTCACTGTGTTAGCCAAGATGGTCTCGATCTCCTGACCTCGTGATCCGCCTGCCTTGGCCTCCCAAAGTGCTGGGATTACAGGCGTGAGCCACCGTGCCCGGCCAATCTTCTGCATTTTCAAAAAGCTCCTTTTCCTACATCCTGGTGATTCTGTGTCCACAAGGTGTTTTTGTTTTTTTTTTTTTTCTTTGAAACGGAGTGTCGCTCTGTTGCCCAGGCTAGAGTGCAGTGATGCAATCTCAGCTCACTGCAACCTCTGCCTCCCAGGTTCAAGCAATTCTCCTGCCTCAGCCTCCTGAGTAGCTGGGATTACAGGCACGTGCCACCACGCCTGGCTAATTTTTTGTATTTTCAGTAGAGACGAGGTTTCACCGTGTTAGCCAGAATGGTCTCGATTTCCTGACCTTGTGATTTGCCCACCTTGGCCTCCCAAAGTGTTGGGAATACAGGCGTGAGCCACTGCGTGGCCTGTGTCCACAAGGTTTGAGCACTACTACTCTCAAGGGCAGTGCTGGGATGTCTTATGCTACAAATCATTAATATTCCTGATGTCCATTACTCACGTGTAAACCTTAAGAACAAAATCCTTTTCTTCCTTTACTTCTGTGAGTGACTGTAGGACATCCAAGATGCTTAGGACCGCACAGCCATATGGTCGCCTGTAGTGCAGGTGAGGAGGACCTTTCTTTGAGTCGTTCAGGAGCATCCGGCCTTGGGCACAGCAGAAAACACCAGTCAGACTGAGAAAAGCATGCTCCTCTCCAGTATCACCTAATTGTCATCCAAGGATGCCTGAGCTACAGGCACCTAGGAAATCCTCTAAGGTGAAGACTACAGGGCTGAAGGGAGTCATCCAAGGATATTTATGTGGAAGAACACCAAACAGGCCTCTGGCCAAAGCTCTTCCCTGTACTACATTCAATCAATCATTCTTATCTAACTCTAAACCAATATCAACACTCCATTTATTAATCACATGAGAATAAAAGTGATTTTATGAATTTCTTAGAAAAACCAGTGTGCTAATAATAAATTTAAACTTCTCAGGTATGTTTTAGATACAAAGTTTAGTATTTTAGCTGCCAGGTATAAACTGCATATGCACAGACAAGGAGGATACTGTGTTCTTTCAACCAAATTCTGCTGTCAAACATCATCTTGAACAATTGTGGGACTGAGAGTAGTCTTAGAAAGTGGATGAGTGTTTACTTTTCCTGCTTACCAAAGCTGTGCCTACAGTGGCAAGAAGACTTGCAAATGCTGGAACCTTAACAAACACTTTATTTAGTACAGCAAATAGCTGTTTTGTTGGCAAGGGATTAAAAAATATTCTTTGATAAAAATGTACATGATAGGCCAAAACTCAAACCTATGAAGGAGGACTTGGTTCACCATAGCCCCAAAAGTTGTATCATAAACTTGAAATAAGTCTGAGCAAACCAACCACAGAACAGTAGTAAAAATCACTTTTTCATCTTGGGTGGGGTAGAAGTGAAATGTCATCCATCTTCTGGAGTGATGACAATAACTCTAATTTTGTGGAGAGAGCCACAGATACATAATTTCAAACACAAACAATAGGTGGTGAATGGCCTTTGCTGTGAAGTTGGCACCTCTGGAAACCTGCTATAAGATCTCTGAGGGAAAGGGTAGGGCACTGTGTTAGAAATAATGTCTAGAAGTAGACCATTTTAAATAAAAAGTTTGGGTCTAAAAACAGGGAGCAGAAGGTTTTAAGTGATTAAAAAACACAAACAAAACCCACCCCCCCGAATCCATTTATATCAAACCAAGCTACCATAGCAGTTGAGCTTAGGTATAGCTTCAATACAAGCTGGACTCTAATCCTGAGACCTGAAATTACAGGTAAGATCTAGGGAGAAAACAAAGCTCATGCACAAGACATACTTATCCCAAGTTGGGCCATTCTTAGTCATGTGAATGGGTAAGGTGAACAGTACCTATTCGGATCACATGGGCAACGATATACAAATCTCTCTTCATATCTTTGCTGCTCAGATCCTAAGAGAAAAAATAAGTAAATTCAGGCAAGGAATACACAGAAAATAATTAAAAATTCATTTTGAATCTCTAGTCATTTGCTTTTACTGTATGTTATAGGCAGGGGAAGGGAGATTACAGCATATAGCACTTTAATGGTTTATAAGATGTCTGCAGTGAAAGTCTGGATATCTTATATGGCTTTGGAAGTTTATTCTATTGACAACATTTTTCCAGCTCTCATTTAGACCACTTAACAAATAAAAAGTCTATAAAAGTTCTCACATTAGAAATCTTCATGATATCGCCTTATTCCATGTTTACTCTAACATCATATAAAAACATTCTGTAACAGAAGGAATAAATGTTCAGTAAAGAAAAAATTGGGAAAACACCAAAAAGCTCATCAATAACTAAAATTCTATAAGTTTGTTCTCCACTAATTTTACATTGATTCCTCTGTCCACAAATGATTATTACACACGAAGTTGTTCCACTTAAAAGAGATTAATTTGATATCAGTGAAACCTCAATAATTTGATTTCTATTTCTAAATTCTGATATTTATCATTTGTACTAAATTATAGTTGAAAATAATCTTATTGAAAAAAATTAAGGGTTTCCTTTAAGTAAACACATATGATCCAGAATCAGAAAATTTCCAAACCAAAGAGTTATGAAAATCATTCCTTTTTCTTTCTTTCTTTCTTCCTTTTCTTTAAAAAACAAGATCTTGCTCTGTCACCAGGATGGAGTGCAGTGGTGCGATCACGGCTCACTGCAGCCTTGTCCTCTGGGTCAAGCGATTCTCCCACCTCAGCCTCCCAAGTAACTGGTACTACAGGTGTGCACCATCATGCCCAGCTATTTTTAAAATTATTTGTAGAGATGGGGTCTTGCTATGTTGCCAGAGCTGGTCTCAAACTTCTAGGCTCAAGCAATCTTCCTGCCTCAGCCTCCCAAAGTGTTGAGATTACAGGTGTTAGTTACCATGCCCAATCTGATAATCATTCTATTTGTGTTTAGAACATATGTTGAAATGTTTGTTGATGAGTACGCATTATGCTTTTTAAATGTATTGTACTTGAAATAACAAAAATTCTTTAATATATATTCTGTTTCAGATTTTTCTTGCTGCTCTCTCAGCCATTATTGCGAGTTAATGATACTTGATGGAATAACCTTTGTCCTTAATGTGACAGGTTTCTGTGATCTCCCTTTCGCTTCTAGGAAAGGCTCCCTTAGTTCCATTTCCTTTTCCTCTTTCATCTTTTGATTGACCCCAGATGCCTGTCTCTCTTCAATTAAAAAAAAAAATGTAGTCCCAGCTACTCGGGAGGCTGAGGCAGGAGAATGGCATGAACCCGGGAGGCAGAGCTTGCAGTGAGCCGAGAAAGAGACAGCGCTACTGCAGTCCGGCCTGGGCAAAAGAGCGAGACTCCGTCTCAAAAAAAAAAAAAAAAAAAAAGGTACAATCAAATGGCAGTCATGATTTGGAATGAGCTTAGAGATTCAGAGTCTCCATGTTTCTTAATTTGTAAACCCTGTTGCAGGGTTAGCACTAGTGTGAGGCAAGCAAGGCACCTAAGGTACAAAATTTAAGAAGGCACTCGCTCCTCAAGATCCTGTGCTTTGTTTGCCTTAGCCTAGTCCCAGCCTCGCCCTATTAAATGGCCTTAAACATATGAAAGAAAAGGAGACACTAAGAAGTAATATGTGGGCCAGGCATGGCGGCATATGTCTGTAATCCCAGCACTCTGGGAGGCCGAGGTGGGAGGATCGCTTGAGGTCAGGAGTTCGAGACCAGCCTGGCCAACATGGTGAAACCCCATCTCTACTAAAAATACAAAAATTAGCAGGGTGTGGCGGCACGCACTTGTAATCCCAGCTACTCGGGAGGCTGAAGCAGGAGAATGGCTTGAACCTGGGAGGTGGAGGCTGCAGTGAGCCCAGATTGTGCCACTGTACTCCAGTGACAGAGAGACTCCGTCTCAAAAAAAAAAGTAATATGTAGTGGTGAAACTGAAGCTTTTAGATGGTTATAATATTTTGTCAAGTTCTTAAAATAATAAAGTATGTTTATAATGAAACAGGTTACAAAATAAACATAAATTGATATCTGGAATCACAAAGATATATTTTTACATGAAAGTTGTGTTTGATATTGAAAAAGGATGTTTCAGGCCCCATTTCACTAATTCTTTTAAACATGGAATTAAAAATAATATTATTAAAATAGTGCTATATTTTGATACTTATTAAGATGGTACTATCCAAGTGAAAATTGAAAACCAGGTTACCATTTTTATATACTTTTTTGAATTGAAAGATGTTGATTACTGAAGGATATAGAAATGTTCAACACATTTCAAAGTGAAATGGTTCCTCCTACACAGCCTGGATTGTGTACATCCAAACTATCAAATGACTCGTATAATCACTGACTCCAATGTACCTATGGAATTCAAGCTAAATGTTTCCCTTGACTCTGCTGAGTGAATAAAAGAAGCCTTAAGTATAATTTATGGTATTTTTCAAGTGGCTGAGTAGGGGCTCTTTCTGACAATCATGTACACAGCATCCAGAACTTTCAGTGGAATTTATTTGACATCAATAGAAATAAGACAATAATTAGTGCAAGAAAATATTTTAAGCAAAATTATTATTTGTGAGTTCCACAGAATTTCAATATAAAAGCTATCTTATTAAATATAGGTGTATGACTAAACACAGTTACCATAAGGTTTGTTAAACATATATTCTTCAAGACTAAGCACCAAGGGTGGTTATCTACATTATATTACTCACATGACCTGTAAAAGAAAGATAAGAAGGGTGATGTATCTACCATTCATCTGGTGAGCAGGATTTCAGTCCTGATTACATGGCAGGAATTAGATTTGTTCACTGGACCAAACTCTCTAATCCTACTTAACTAGGAAGCTGCTCCCAACTAAACAGTGTGTAGAAGAGACAATTGAGGACAATGACTTAGGGTCGAGCATCTTAGACTCACTCATCTGAAACACGAAAAAGTTAATTAACTTCCCTGTGCCTGGGACACTCCTTTTTTTTGGGAGATAATGGGATTTTCAAATACAAAATAAAACCAGCTTATTCATACGTAAGTTGCAGAAAATAAGGTAGTATTTTAATACATAATGTTATTATAGTAATAATCAAGTTCAATTCTGAACTCTAAAAAATCACTACTTAAAATTCTATCTTGGAATGTAGAAGAGTATAAATAAATATATAAAATAAAATGACAACTAATACTTGGAAAACTGTACAAATTCATTCTCTGAGTTGGTCACTTAAATATGACAGCAAATAAACATTTATTCATTTGTTTATGTAACAAATCATTACTGACACCTTGCCGGCAGTGTGTATGAGGTCCTGAATATCTAAAAATGAGTAAATACGAATAGATATACTTTCACACATTTGTATATAGAGCCATTGTTTAGCATGAAAGTCAGCAAAATCCTCATTGTATTGGCCGTCCACGTAAGTATAAAACATATTCTCCTTGGATAAAATTCTTCCTTGGTAGGAAACCCTAAAATCTAACCAAGTCAGAAAAACTAAGGCCTCAAAGAGAATAAAGGCCATGCCAAATAATGTGACTTTAATGTGGCTCTGAAGTGTGCTGAGTAACCTCGTAATCTGCTCAGTTTGTATGATTCCCTTTTCCCTATTCTAAGGTAAGCTAAAAGGTCAGCATCAACCATAGTTGTGGCTACATTTTCTTGCATTTACTCTGAGACTTTGCAGCACACACATCAATCTAGGAAACTCCTTTAGCTCATAGGAAGAACTCAAGTCTCAGATAATGAGAAAACAGGTCCCACCTATATAATTTCATAGAGCTTAAAGTAAAACATAAAAATCCTGGCTAAGATAATCTTGTTCAGAAATCTTGTGTGCTTTGTAAAAAATCCTCAAATCATGTTTCGGACCTTTTTAAAAAATCCAGGGCAGGGCTGGGCTGGGTACAGTGACTCATACCTGTAATCCCAGCACTTTGGGAGGCCAAGGTGGGAGGGTTGTTTGAGGCCAGCAGTTCAAGACCAGCCTGGGCAAAATAGCAAGACGCCATCTCTTAAAAAAAAAAAATTAGCCAAGCATGGTGTGCGCCTATAGCCCCACTACTCAGGAGACCGAGGCAGGAGGATTGCTTAGAGCCCAAAGGTTCAAGGTTTTTATGTGAGCTATGATCAGGCCACTGCACTGAAGCCTGGGCCACAGAGTGAGACCCTGACTGCAAAAATAAAAAATAAAAAATAAATAAATTCAGGGCTGCACTACAAACAGAATTATGGAAGTATTAATAGCATATTTAGCACCCTGTGCCTTCCCATTGTGGCAGAACAAGAGCACATCATGCATGTTATGTGCAATAAAGTTGGAGCTATAGCTTTGGCCTCTGGGCTCATATGGATAATTAAAATGCTAAATGAAAATTTTAATTTACTGTAATTACATTCAAATGCCACCCTAATTAAGTTCATTTTTAAAAAGTCAAAGACTGTACTCATCATATTCAAGAATTCAAAGACAGTACATGCACGCAGCTCTGTTCCCACAAATCCAAGAAACAAGGAATCAACAATTTCTCCTGATGCTTTACCAGGAAATATCAGAGAATCAGAATTTAGAAAAACCTCCTAAGGTTACTGAGACATTCTAGAAGGTGGGTGTCTCTTACTAATTCTGTTTCAGAAAGGAGGTCCTACAAAACCACCTCAGTGTTCAGGAACTCTCACTTCAGAAGCTCTCAGCCAATAGACTAACCTAAATCCCATTTACTACAATTTAGATTCTTTCTTTCATTCTTTTCCAATTGAAGACAGAGTGCTGATCTTCCCAGACTAAGCCATCTTAACTCCCTTAACCGCCATCATGGGTCTGCTCTTCCTGTTCTTTCTCCTTGCATTATCTCCTAAGCCTTTACTGCTAAGCTCAAAGATGGACAACATATTATTTAAGCTTAGCTAGATTTATAAATCTTTCCATACATCTGGAGCATTATCAATAAAAGCTATCCCTGTGAAAGTGGTTTCTGATTCTGCAGTAACATCATTTGATGTTCTGAAAGATAAAGTTGCAGTAATGAACTAAAAAGTGAGGTGAACAAATATAACTGCAGCTTTTATAGAAAGTCATGTATCAGATCTCCAGATAAATCCCATTTGCATTTAAGAGGCCCAATGTAATCTTTGCGATATCTGTCCCATCAATCACACACCATAAGCAAGGTCAGTGACACTGTGAAACTATCCAATAGGTTTTGATGTATCTCAGGATCACTGAAACAGATCAAAGAATCCACAATAATCAAAACTGGTTGAAAATTGTGACACAGTCTTGTTTTCTTCTACAGCAAATAAATTAACTCAAATAAATACCACTGGATAGTTTTTAACAAGGTAAAAACAAATTAGTAAATCAGAATAAACTTGAAGAACACACATGGCAAGGTGGGATTGTGAGGTTTGGTATTTTCCAATCAGCAGATTTCCAAACCTTTTCTAAGTTGATTGGTCCATGGTTGTACAGACCATGAACAACAGTATGGCTTTTCAGAAAAAACTGAAGTACAGAAACAAGGGGATTCTGTTCCAAGATAGCCGAATAGGAACAGCTCCGGTCTGCAGCTCCCAGCATGATCGACGCAGAAGATGGTGATTTCTGCATTTCCAACTAAGGTACCTGGTTCATCTCATTGGGACTGGTTGGACAGTGGGTGCAGCCCAAGGAGGGCAAGCCGAAGCAGTGTGGGGCATCGCTTCACCTGGGAAGTGCAATGGGTCGGGGGATTTCCCTTTCTTAGCCAAGGGAAGCCATGACAGACTGTACCTGGAAAATCGGGACACTCTCGCCCAAATACTGCACTTTTACAACGGTCTTAGCAAATGGCACACCAGGAGATTACATCCTGTGCCTGGGATATCCTGGACGGGTCCCATGCCCACAGAGCCTTGCTCAGTGCTAGTGCAGCAGTCTAAGATCGACCTGCGAGGCAGCAGCGTAGCGGGCAAGGGGCACCTGCCATTGCTGAGGCTTGAGTAGGTAAACAAAGCGGCTGGGGAAGCTCCAACGGGCAGAGCCCACCACAGCTCTGCAAGGCCTGCTGCCTCTGTAGACCCCACCTAGGCGGGCAGGGCATAGCTGAACAAAAGGCAGCAGAAACTTCTGCAGACTTAAACGTCCCTGTCTGACAGCACTGAAGAGAGCAGTGGTTCTCCCTGCACAGTGTTTGAGCTCTGAGAATGGACAGACTGCCTCCTCAAGTGGGTCCCTGACCCTCGTGTAGCCTAACTGGGAGACACCTCCCAGTAGGGGCTGACTACCACCTCATACAGGTGGGTGCCCCTCTGAGATGAAGCCTCCAGAGGAAGGATCAGGCAGCAATATTTGCTGTTTTGCAGCCTCCGCTGGTGATACTCAGGCAAACAGGGTCTGGAATGGACCTCCAGCAAACTCCAACAGACCTGCAGCAGAGGGACTTGACTGTTAGAAGGAAAACTAACAAACAGAAGGGAATAGCATCAACATCAACAAAAAGGACATCAACACCAAAACCCCATCTGTAGATCACCAGCATAAAATACCAAAGTTAGATAAAACCACAAAGATGGGGAGAAGCCAGAGCAGAAAAGCTGAAAATTCTAAAAACCAGAGCACCTCTTCTCCTCCAAAGGACTGCAGGTCCTCACCAGCAATGGAACAAAGCAGGACGGAGAATGACTTTGATGAGTTGACAGAAGTAGGCTTCAGAAGGTCAGTAATAACAAACTTCTCCGAGCTAAAGGAGGATCTTCAAACCCATCTCAAAGAAGCTAAAAACTTTGAAAAAAGATTTGATGAATGGCTAACTAGAATACACAGTGTAGAGAAGACCTTAAATGACCTGATGGAGCTGAAAACCATGGCTCGAGAGCTACATGACACATGCACAAGCTTCAATAGCCAATTTGATCAAGTGGAAGAAAAGGTATCAGTGATTGAAGATAAAATTAATGAAATAAAGTGAGAAGAGAAGTTTAGAGAAAAAAAAAGTAAAAATAAACAAAGCCTCCAAGAAATATGGGACTATGTGAAAAGACCAAATCTACGTCTGATTGGTGTACCTGAAAGTGACGGGGAGAATGGAACCAAGCTGGAAAACACTCTGCAGGATATTATCCAGGAGAACTTCCCCAACCTAGCAAGGCAGGCCAACATTCAAATTCAGGAAATACAGAGAATGCCACAAAGATACTCCTTGAGAAGAGCAACTCCAAGACACATAATTGTCAGATTCACCAAAGTTGAAATGAAGGAAAAAATGTTAAGGGCAGCGAGAGAGAAAAGTCAGGTTACCCACAAAGGGAAGCCCATCAGACTAACAGTGGATCTATTGGCAGAAACTCTATAAGCAGAAGACAGTGGGGGCCACTACTGAACATTCTTAAAGAAACGAATTTTCAACCCAGAATTTCATATGCAGCCAAACTAAGCTACATAAGTGAAGGAGAAATAAAATCCTTTACAGACAAGCAAATGCTGAGAGACTTTGTCACCACCAGGCCTGCCTTACAAGAGCTCCTGAAGGAAGCACTAAACATGGAAAGGAACAACTGGTACCAGCCACTGCAAAAACATGCCAAATTGTAAAGACAATCGATGCTAGCAAGAAACTGCATCAACTAATGGGCAACATAACCAGCTAACATCAAAATGACAAGATCAAATATCTACCTATAACCTTCTGTCTCATTGATCTGTCTAATATTGACAGTGGGGTGTTTTTATCTACCTTTGGTCTTTGATGCTGGTGACCTACAGATAGGGTTTTGGTGTGGATGTCCTTTTGGTTGATGTTGATGCTCTTCCTTTCTGTTTGTTAGTTTTCCTTTTAACAGTCAGGTCCCTCAGGTCACACATAACAATATTGACCTTAAATGTAAATGGGCTAAATGCCCCAATTAAAAGACACAGACTGGCAAACTGGATAAAGAGTCAAGACCCATCATTGTGGTGTATTCAGGAGACCCATCTTATGTGCAGAGACATACATAGGCTCAAAATAAAGGGATGGAGGAAGATCTACCAAGCAAATGGAAAGCAAAAAAAAAAAGCAGGGGTTGCGATCCTAGTCTCTGATAAGGCAGACTTTAAGCCAATAAAGATCAAAAGAGACAAAGAAGGGCATTACATAATGGTAAATGAATCAATTCAACAAGAAGAGCTAAGGAGCACCAAGATTCATAAAGCAAGTCCTTAGAGACCTACAAAGAGACTTAGACTCCCACACAATAATAATGGGAGACTTTAACACCCCACTGTCAACATTAGACAGATCAACGAGACAGAAGGCTAACAAGGACATCCAGGAATTGAACTCAGCTCTGCACCAAGTGGACCAAATAGACATCTACAGAACTCTCCACCCCAAATCAACAGAATATACATTCTTCTCAGCACCACATCACACTTATTCCAAAATTGAACACATAGTTGGAAGTAAAGCACTCCTCAGCAAATGTAAAAGAACAGAAATCACAATAAACTGTCTCTCAGACCACAGTGCAATCAAATTAGAACTCAGGATTAAGAAGCTCACTCAAAACTGCTCAACTACATGGAAACTGAACAATCTGCTCCTGAATGACTACTGGGTTAATAACTAAATGAAGGCAGAAATAAAGATATTCTTTGAAACCAATGAGAATGAAGACACAACGTACCAGAATCTCTGGGACACATTCAAAGCAGTGTGTAGAGGGAAATGTATAGCACTAAATGCCCACAAGAGAAAGCAGGAAAGATCTAAAATTGACACCCTAACATCACAATTAAAAGAACTAGAGAAGCAAGAGCAAACACATTTAAAAGCTAGCAGAAGGCAAGAAATAACTGAGATCAGAGCAGAACTGAAAGAGACAGAGACACAAAAAACCCTTCAAAAAATCAATGAATCCAGGAGCTGTTTTTTTGAAAAGATCAACAAAATTGATAAACCGCTAGCAAGACTAATAAAGAAAAGAGAGAAGAAACAAATAGACATAATAAAAAATGAAAAAGGGGATATCGTCACCGATCCTACAGAAATACAAACTACCATCAGAGAATACTATAAACACCTCTACACAAATAAACTAGAAAATCTAGAAGAAATGGATAAATTCCTGGACACATACACCCTCCCAAGACTAAACCAGGAAGAAGTTGAATCCCTGAATAGACCAATAACAGGTTCTAAAATTGAGGCAATAATTAATTGCCTCCCAACCAAAAAAAGTCCAGGACTGACGGGTTCACAGCTGAATTCTACCAGAGGTACAAAGAGGAGCTGGTACCATTCCTTCTGAAACTATTCCAATTAACAGAAAAAGAGGGAATCCTCCCTAACTCATTTTATGAGGCCAGCATCATCCTGATACCAAAGCCTGGCAGAGACACAACAACAAAAAAGATTTTTAGACCAATATCCCTGATGAACGTCGATGCAAAAATCCTCAATAAAATACTGGCAAACCGAATCCAGCAGCACATGAAAAAGCCTATCCACCACGATCAAGTTGGCTTCATCCCTGGGATGCAAGGCTGGTTCAACATACACAAATCAATAAATGTAATCCAGCATATAAACAGAACCAATGACAAAAACCACATGATTATCTCAATAGATGCAGAAAAGGCCTTTGACGAAATTCAATAGCCCTTCATGCTAAAAATTCTCAATAAACTAGGTATTGATGGAACGTATCTCAAAATAATAGGAGCTATTTAGGACAAACCCACAGCCAATATCGTACTGAATGGGCAAAAATTGGAAGCATTCCCATTGAAAACTGGCACAAGACAGGGATGCCCTCTCTCACCACTCCTATTCAACATAGTGTTGGAAGTTCTGGTCAGGGCAATCAGGCAAGAGAAAGAAATAAAGGGTACTGAATTAGGAAAAGAGGAAGTCAAATTGTCCCTGTTTGCAGATGACATGATTGTATATTTAGAAAACCCCATTATCTCAGCCCAAAATCTCCTTAAGCTGATAAGCAACTTCAGCAAAGTTTCAGGACACAAAATCAATGTGCAAAAATCACAAGCATTCCTCTACACCAATAACAGACAGAGAGCCAAATCATGAGTGAACTCCCATTCACAATTGCTACAAAGAGAATAAAATACCTAGGAATCCAACTTACAAGGGATGTGAAGGACCTCTTCAAGGAGAATTACAAACCACTGCTCAACGAAATAAAAGAGGACACAAACAAATGGAAGAATATTCCATGCTCATGGATAGGAAGAATCAGTATCGTGAAAATGGCCGTATTGCCCAAGGTAATTTATAGATTCAATGCCATCCCCATCAAGCTACCAATGACTTTCTTCACAGAATTGGAAAAAACTACTTTAAAGTTCATATGGAACCAAAAAAGAGCCCACATTGCCAAGACAATCCTAAGCCAAAAGAACAAAGCTGGAGGCATCACATTACCTGACTTCAAACTATACTACAAGGCTACAGTAACCAAAACAGCATGGTACTGGTACCAAAACAGAGGTATAGACCAATGGAACAGAACAGAGGTCTCAGAAATAACACCACACATCTAGAACCATCTGATCTTTGACAAACCTGACAAAAACAAGAAATGGGGAAAGGATTCCCTATGTAATAAATGGTGCTGGGAAAACTGGCTAGCCATATGTAGAAAACTGAAACTGGATCCCTTCCTTACACCTTATACAAAAATTAATTCAAGATGGATTAAGGACTTAAATGTTGGACCTAAAACCATAAAAATCCTAGAAGAAAACCCAGGCAGTACCATTCAGGACATAGGCATTGGCAAGGACTTCATGACTAAAACACCAAAAGCAATGGCAACAAAAGCCAAAATTGACAAATGGGATCTAATTAAACTAAAGAGCTTCTGCACAGCAAAAGAAACTGCCATCAGAGTGAACAGGCAACCTACAGAATGGGAGAACATTTTTGCAATTTACCCATCTGACAAAGGGCTAATATCCAGAATCTACAAAGAAATTAAACAAATTTACAAGAGTAAAAACAAAGAATCCCATCAAAAAGTTGGCAAAGGATATGAGCAGACACTTCTCAAAAGAAGACATTTATGCAGCTAAGAGACACATGAAAAAATGCTCATCATCACTGGTCATCAGAGAAATGCAAATCAAAATCACAATGAGATACCATCTCACGCCAGTTAGAATGGCAATCATTAAAAAGTCAGGAAGCAACAGGTGCTGGAGAGGATGTGGAGAAATAGGAACGCTTTTACACTGTTGATGGGAGTGTAAACTAGTTCAACCATTGTGGAAGATAGTGTGGCGATTCCTCAAGGATCTAGAACTAGAAATACCATTTGACCCTGTGATCCCATTACTGGGTATATACCCAAAGGATTATAAATCATGCTACTATTAAGACACATGGAGATGTATGTTTATTGAGGCGCTATTCACAATAGCAAAGACTTAGAACCAACCCAAATGTCCACCAATTACAGACTGGATTAAGAAAATGTGGCACATATACACCATGGAATACTATTCAGCCATAAAAAAGGATGATTTCATGTCCTTTGCAGGCACATGGATGAAGCTGGAAACCATCACTCTAAGCAAACTATCACAAGGACAGAAAACCAAACACTGCATGTTCTCACTGATAGGTGGGACTTGAACATTGAGAACTCTTGGACATAGGGCAGGGAACATCACACATGGGGGCCTGTTGTGGTGTGGGGTCAGGGGGAGGGATAGCATTAGGAGAAATACTTAATGTAAATCACGAGTTAATGGGTACAGCAAACCAACATGGCACATGTATACCTATGTAACAAACCTGCATGTTGTGTACATGTACCCTAGAACTTAAAGTATATATATAAAGAAAAGTACAGATCACAGTAGGAAAAAATCCCCCAATTAGTATTTGGAAGAGGACTATTTAGTTTGTCTTGCTGTATATGAACTCACTAACAAACTACAAAGCTGTAAACTTGGTGGATACCTTTAAAATAAATTATGCATCAGAAATTATACAGCTCAGAGAAATTCCCAGTGGCCTTGGATAAGAACAGTAAGAAAGACCTATGTCATATTTTTTTTTGTTTTTTTTTTGAGACAGGGTCTGGTCTCACTTTTTCACCTAGGCTGGAGTACAGTGGTGCAACCTTGGCTCACTGCAGCTTCAACCTCCTGGGCTCAGGCGGTCCTCTTGCCTCACATCCCCAAGTAGCTGTGACTACAGACACACGCCACATGCCCAGCTAATTTTTGAATTGTTTCTACAGATTGGGTTTTGGCATGTTGTCCAGGCTGGTTCTGTCAGATTTTAAGTGTCTATTATATGAAATAGCTTATAAAATCTGTATCAGTGAAAGGTACTTGATTATATTTCATTAATAAAAATTAAGTTTAAAACTGTATATAATTTCAGTTTTCTATAAATATTTCATTAAAACCTAATAGAAACATAAATCAAGTCCTATTCTCCCCAGTGTATATGGAAATAAGACTAAATGCTTGTTTCCAGGGTGACAGTATCCACATAGCAGGCCACTGGTTAGAGTCAACAGCAAAGAAGAAAAAGAGAATTCGTACATACTGTAAAAAGGGCACACATTCGTTCTATCTTCTCTGGGTTCCTCGGCCCACCATTCTTGTTCAGTCTTACCAGAAACCGCTCACTGAAATGTAGGAAAGAAAGATATAGAGAAATGTGAGTAACACACTCCAGAACAAAGAAAAAGGGCAGATACGGAAAAACACTAAACATATTTACATAACAGCTTGCAGTGACAAGCAAGGCCAAAAACACACGTCTAGTGGCAGGACACCCTCTTTTTTCCTGCCAAGTAACATACAAAGGAAACTACAAACTGCCTGATAGGTGCTTCTGTTTATTTGCTGATTGTAGCTGTGTGTTTTATCTGTTTGAAGGTGTGTGCTCCCTGAGGGCAGCAAGGAGTACTGTATCTTATATTTCTCCCAGATATTCCCAAAACAACAGCATGATGCGAAATCCATAACAAGCATATACATTCTTTGATGTGAGCACTCAGATCATCATAAAACCTTCATCATATTAGAGCTGAAAGAATCTACATTACCAAATTTACATCTTCTATATCAGAAGTCCCCAACCCTGGGCTGCAGACTGCTACGGGCCTGTGGCCTGTGAGGAACTGGGCCGCACAGCAGGTGAGCAGCAGGTGGACAAGCATTACCACCTGAGCTCTGCCTCCTGTCAGATCAGCAGCGGCATTAGATTTTCACAGGCGCACAAACCCTATTGTGAACTTCACAATATTGTGGAGGGATATAGGTTGTATGCTCCTTATGAGAATTTAACTAATGCCTGATGATCTAAGGTAGAACAGCTTCATCCCAAAACCATCCCACACCACCACCTCCACCCATCAGTCTATGGAAAAATTGGCTTCCATGAAATTGGTCACTGGTGCCAAAAACATTGGGGAGTGCTGTTTTATATAACTCTTGAGAATCACTTTAGGGCAGCAGTGTCCAATCTTTTGGCTACCCTGGGTCGCATTGGAAGAAGAAGAACTGTCTTGGGCCACACATAAAATACACTAACACTAATGGTAGCTGATGAGCTAAAAAATAAAAATAAAAATAAAAAAAATCTCACGATGTTTTAAGAAAGTTTACGAATTTGTGTTGGGCTGCATTCAAAGCCATCGTGGGCTGCATGCAGCCTGTGGACCACAGGTTGGACAAGCTTGCTTTAGGTCTTAAAAAATGTTACAGCTCATAGGTGGGAATAGAACAATGAGAACACATGGACACAGGAAGGGGAACATCACACTCCAGGGACTGGTGTGGGGTAGGCGGAGTGGGGAGGGATAGCATTAGGAGATATACCTAATGCTAAATAACGAGTTAATGGGTGCAGCACACCAACATGGCACATGTATACATATGTAACAAACCTGCACATTGTGCACATGTACCCTAAAAGTTAAAGTATAATAATAATAATAATAAAAAGAGATCCAGACAGAAAAAAAATGTTACAGCAACTTATAAAAATTTTGGTGGAAATTCAAAAAGAAATGATGTGTTATAGCTAAAGCTACAATCAGAATTTAATAGAGCCATTAAATACTTTATTCTCCAAATAATATACGTAATTTCAGGAGGAAATTACAATTATTGGACTAGAAAACCTTAGAAACAGTGTTTGCAACATTTGGAGAAATGTCTCTTTACTCTCGCATCTCCTTCCTGCCCCTGCGCAGAATCTCATTCCCACCTCTTTATCCGAAGATTTACTACCAACTGTAAAGGAAAACTGTGCCATGGTGAAGACAAAGCATGTGATTCCAAAAGTAACTTACTTATTTTGTGCCTCTGGTCATGTACTCATGGAATATATGTAGTATCAGTTTAGTTTGTTCGTGTATTCATTTGGTCCGTCTACAAATTGTTATTAAGTTCTGTGTGCTTGGCATGTGAATATAAATGTGAACAAGACATATACAAGGTACTTTTTCCTCATACAGCTATGGTCCTGGTAGGCAGTTAGACATGCAGAAATGAATCTCAGAAAGATTTGGGTCAGATATAAATTTGAGATTCTTCAGCCAGGGGAACAAATGGGAATAAGCAGGGAACATGCAAAGAACAAAGAGAAAAGGGGCTTTGGTCAGATTGCTGAGGGACAATGACATCTAAGAAACGGGTAAAAGAAAAACTATCAAAGTAGATGCATGGGGCAAATGGAAAAACAGAAGAAAAATATGAAGGATGGTGAGATGTTGCACTGGTCAAGTGAAGAAAGTGTCTGAAAGAGGAGGGAGGGGTCAACAAGGTCCAAGACCATTGAGAGTCACATGTAACAAGGACAAAACTCTCGAACACAGATCACTGGTGATTCTGGCAAGAACTGTTTTAATGAAATGGTAGAGAAAGATGCCAGTGTGAGGAGTAGGAAAGAAATGATGAAGCACAGTCTAGACCACACTTTAAAGAATGGTTGTGAAGAGGTGGAAGTGATGCATTTTTAGTTAAATGGGCATGTGGGGTTGAGGGAGTCTTTGTTAAAATATGGGATAACCCACATACACATAGTCAATTAATTTCAAATAAAGGTATCAAGGGGGGGTGTATAGTACGTTCAGCAAATGGTGCTGAACAATCCATATGAAAAAAACTAAGCCTTGACCCTTGCTTATAAAAATTAACTTGAATGTATCACAGGCTCGAATACAAGAGCTAAAACTGTGAAAGAAGACAACTCAGTGAAAAATGAAGACAAGTATCTTGTATATCTTGTTCACATTTGTTTCCACATTTAGCACATAGTAGAAAACTTTCTGTCGCCCCAGATTATTAAGCAAATATCACAAATCACAACAAAATGATAAATTAGACTTTACATAAATTAAAAGCTTTCTTTTTAAAAGATACTGGTGAGAAAATGAAAGGACAAGCTACAGACTGAGAGAAAATAATCACAAAACATTCACCTAAGAAAAAATTGGATTGAGAACATACAAAATGTCCAATAAGAATAAACATTCAAATAAAAAATGGACACAAGATTTGAACAGACCCTTCACCAAAGGATGTGCAGAGATGGCAAATAAGCACAAGAAAATATCATTAACCATTAGAGAAATGCAAATTAAAAACACAGTGAGGGCTGGGTGTGGTGGCTCACACTTGTAATCCCAGCACTTTGGGAGGATGAGGCAGGTAGATCTCCTGAGGTCAGGAGTTTGAGACCAGTCTGGCCAACATAGTGAAACCCTGTCTCTACTAAAAATACAAAAATTAGCCAGGCATAGTGGCGGGTGCCTGTAATCCCAGCTACTCAGGAGGCTGAGACAGAAGAATCGCTTGAACCCAGGGGGCGGAGGCTACAGTGGGCCTAGATCGCCCCACTGCACTCCAGCCTGGGCAAAAGAGCAAAACTCCATCACACACACACACACACATAAAAAAAAAAAACAGAAAACAAAAACCACAGTGAGATACCACCACACACCTACTAGAATAGCTATAACTAAAGAATGAATATACCAGCCGGGCACGGTGGCTCACGCCTGTAATCCCAGCACTTTGAGAGGCCGAGGCAGGCAGATCACATGAGGTCAGGAGTTCGAGACCAGCCTGGCCAACATGGTGAAACCTCGTCTCTACTAAAAACACAAAAATTAGCTGGGCATGGTGGCCTGTGCCTGTAATCCTAGCTGCTCGGGAGGCTGAGGCAGGAGAATCACTTGAACCCGGGAGGCAGAGGTTGCAGTGAGCCGAGATTGTACCATTGCACTCCAGCCCGGGCAACAAGAGAGAAACTCCGTCTCAAAAAAAAAAGAAGAATGAATATACCAAAGGTTGGTAAGAATGTCAAGTAACTAGAACTAAATCTCTCATAAACTGTTGGTAAGAATGCAAAATGGTACATCCACTTTGGAAAACAGCTTGACAGTTTCTTATATACATACTAAATGACCCAGTAATTCTCCTCCTATGTGTTTACTCAGGAGAAATGAAAAAATTTACCCAAAGATCTATATATAAATATTTATAGCAGCATTATCCACAATGGCCAAAACATGTAAGAACCCAAATATCCATCAGGGGGATAAATGAATAATCTACATAGTAGAGTATCATTTCACAATTTTAAAAAACAAACTACTGGGATGTATAATAATATGGATGAATCTCAAAAGCATTATACTAAATGAAAAAACTCAATGAAAAAAGGCCATAGGCTCTATGTCTCCATTTATGTTGCATTCTGGAAAAGACAAAACTATAGGAACAGAAATCAAATCAGTTGCTAGGGCTGGGGAAGAAGGGTAGGGACTGACTGCAAAGGTACATGAGGGAACTTTTTGAGAGTGATGAAATGTTCTATTTCTTGACTGTGGTGATGGTTTCACAACTATATACATTTGTCAGGACTCACTGAACTATGCATTAAAAAGGGTGAATTTTACTGTGTATAAATTACATTTAAAAAACCTGACTCAAAAAAAGATGGGATACACCTAAGAAAATTTATATCTAATGGGACAAGGCTTATAGAAGGAGAACTACTGAAGACACAGGATATAACTGGCAAAGGAAAATCACTGAGTAGGTGAAGAGGGATAGAATCCAGGAAAGAGTGAAGAAGGAAACAATAGGTGTAGATACAAATAAGCTGTGGTTTTAGTAACAGTGTAGATACAAATAAGTTGTGAGTTTTATCACAGACAGGAAATAAAAAACAGTAAAGTAAAAAAAAAAAAAACCACTTCCAAAAATAACAGAAAAAAATTCTCAAGACCATTTAAGAGAAAATGTAATGGGGAAAGGTAGAAAAGACAGCTGTGACACAGACAAGTGAAAAAGTGGCAAAAACATAGAGTCAAGACAATTGTCTTCCCAAAGTATCTTCAATCTTTATAAAGCTTGCCATCTCCTTTGCTGCCACTAGTCTTGGCCATTACTTGACTAACTTGGATTATTCTAACAGCTTCCCAGCTCTACTTCCGTTTTTGCCTCTCTAAAAGCCATTCTTGGAGAGACTGATCCTTTTAAAATACGAATCAGATCATATCTTTTCCCAGCTTAAAACCTTTTCATGCTGTCAACTGATTTTTTACAAGGGTGTTAAGACAACTCAGTGGAGAAAAGAATAGTATTTCAACAAACAGTGTTGGGACAACTAGATATTCACATGCAAAGGAATGAAGCTGGACCTTTATTTCACACCATATGTAAAAATTAAGTAAAAATGAATCATAGATCTACATATAAGAGCTAAAACTACAAAATTCTTAGTAGAAAATATAGGTATACATCTTTATTATAACTGCTGTGATGATTACTAAGTGACATGTATGTAAAATGCCAACTGCTATGTAATAGGGCTTCAATAAATTATACCCCTTAGGAACTGTCAAAAAAAAAAAAACTCTCCAGGAAATTATGTGAGTTTCAAAAATCTGACTTTTAATTTAAACTAAGTTAATCTGACTGGATTAAAATATTGGCACCACTTGTTATTAAAAAAAAAAAAAAGAAAGAAAATATAGGTATAAATTCTCATGACCTTGAATTAAGTAATGGTTTCTTAGGTAGGAAGGACACCAACAGCACAAGCAACAACAAAAAAAGGGACTTCATTACAGTAAAAAACTATTGTGCATCAAAAGACACCATCAACAAAGCAACAAACAAGCCACAGAATGGGCAAAAATATTTATAAATCATATACAGATAAGGGACTTGTACCTATAATATATAAAGTTCTCTTAAAATTCAATAATAAAAAGACAATTCAAAAGTGGGTAACTTGAATAGATATTTCTCCAAAGAAAATACACAAATGGCAAATAAACACATGAAAAGATGTTCGGCATCATTAGTAATCAGGGAATTGCAAATCAAAAGCACAATGAGGGTACCACGTCACACCTCTAGAATGGCTTTATTCAAAATGATAGATAATCATAAGTGCTGACAAGGAAATGGAGAAATTGGAACCATCATACACAGCTGATGGGAATGCAAAATGGTACTGCCACTTTGGAAAAACAGTCTGGAAATTCCTCAAAAGGTTAGCATAGAAACCATATGACCCAGAAATTCTACTCCTAGGTATATATCCAAGAGAAATAAAAACATATGGTCACACAAAAATTTGTACATGAATGTTCATAGCATTATTAATAATAGCCAGAAGGTGAAAACAACCAAAATATCCACTGACAAGTGGATAAATAAAATGTGGTAGATATAGCCAAATAACAAAATATTATTCAGCCATAAAAGTAATGAAGTACTGACACATACTAAAATGTTGATGAACCTTGAAAACAATATTCTAAGTAATGGAAGCCAATCACATAAGACCACACACTGTATGATTCCATTTTTATGATACGTCTACAATAGGCAAATCTACAGAGACTGAAAATAGATTAGTGTTTGCCTAGGGCTGGGGGTCTGGAGGAAATGGAGTGACTATTAAATGGTATGGGATTTCTTTTTGAGTTGATGATACTGTTGTAAGATGGACTGTGGAAATGGTTGCATAACTCTAACATAATAAAAGCCACTGAACTGTACCCTTTGAATGGGTAAACTCTATAGTATGTGAATTATGTTACAAAAGGCTGTTACAGAAAACCAACAAACAACAAACTTTTTCGTGGTTTACTCTTACTCTCAGATAACACGTAAACTCTCCAAGATCTGCATGGCCTTGTGTGAAACAATTGACTCGGCCTATCTTACAGCCCCATCTCATCTCACATGAGCCTTTCTTGCTTATTCTCCACACACACACTGGTGTCCTAGATACAAGTTTCTTGAACATGCCAAGCTCATTCTTGCCTTAGGACCTTTGTGCATGTTGTTTTCTCTGGAATGCTGTTCTTTCAGCCCAAGTGGCTGGCTCACTGCCATCCTTCAGATCTTAGCCTAAATGCCAGTTTCCTAGAGAAGCCAACTTTGATATGTTGGCAAGAGCAGTACTCCTTTACCTCTTCCCTTTACTTACTCACTTTTTTACAGCATGTAGCACAAACTAATTATTTTCTTTCTTTGTTTATTGTCTTTCTCTTACACAAGAGAATAAAATCCCAAGGATAAGGACATTTGTTCCCCTCTGTACCTCTAGTACTTCTAAGAGCCCAACCCTATAATAGGTGCTCAATAAATATTGAATGAAAAAAGGTGGACATTTCCTGAAGAACTTCTGTGTGGTATGTGGAAGTTTGCTAATGAGGGTCACCATGAAATGGACGGGTACATCACCATCACACTATGCAGAAACATCCATGAGCCAGGAGGGAGCAAATGAGATAGCACAAATCAACCTTCTAATTTGGTGACAAAGGACCAACAAGCATCAAATATGTTGTGACAGACACAGTCCCCCAGATGCTCACTAAATCCATGTTTTCTGTTTCTTCTTGGGTACACAGCTAGAGTATACATCTTAGCCCTCCCCCCACTGCAGTTGAGTGGAGCCATGTGACTGAATTCTAGACACCAAAATGTGAATGAATGTGATGTGTGCAATTTCTAGGCTTAGTCCTAAAAACTTCTTATATATGTGCCTTCATGCTTTTTCCCCTTCTAGAGACCTGGAGTGAAGATGACCCCTAGTACAACCTTGGTGCTATGTACTGATGATGGCAGATTATCCATTAGTCTTGGTCCCTAAATGAATGTGTGGATGAAGGCTACCTTAATAACTGCAAATTCACCCACCTAGGGCTGTTATAAAAGCAAGAAAATACACTTTTATTGTGTTTGAACCATAATATATTTTTTGTTACAGAAGTTGATCTAACTAATATGTATACCATGCATATAACAATCCCCAATTATCTGATAATGTGATAATATGCCTTCACAGATACATGAGTATAAAAGTAGGTTTCAGGAAGTTTATGTCTTTCGAAGGGATTTTCAAGAGAATCTATCATAACTTCTGTACTATTCTTCGGAAGGAAAACATACAATTGCTCTCATCCTCACATTATACGCTCTGTGAATCTCTCAAAAGCAGACACCTCCCCAACAGGCTGCTTTTTGGAGCTGCCCATAGCAGGGTACTATTTGGAGGGACTTACACCAAGGTCTTGTCCAAAAATAAAATGGTAGATGAAGCAAATATCTAGGTAAATAGGCTTGCTGGCTCTATCAGAACATAGGAACTTCTCTTTTTCTCCTCAATAATGAAAGGAAGCCCTTAAGTTTAGTTCTCACAGTGCCAACCTGAGCTTTACATTTCCTCAAGACTTTCATACTCTAGTTTCACCTGGCCTTTTTGACAATTTTTAACACTCAAAATAACTGTTTTTTTCACTTCAGAGGCCTTTGGGCATACACAAATTATTTCATTTATCTATCACACCTGTTTATATACCCGTTTATTTATATATTTTGCTAGCTTCTACAATGGGTATGATAAATAAATTCTGCTTTCCATTAATATTCAAACTATTTGAAGACAAATAATCTATCCAATGTTCCCATGATTTGTCAATAGCTGTTTTACAAAAAAAGTGGCAAAATATTGTTGGGAAATATTGTATTGAACACAGACAGGTTTCTACCCTCTAGGACTTTTCAGAGGCTTAAAATGGTGGTATATGTTTTAAGAATTAAGGGGACAGGTGACATTTTACCCCACAACCCACTTTTGTGTAAGGCAATGGAGTCTGTAGAAACATAGTTGGATAAATGCTGATTGAATCTACTTGGCAACTAGAGCAAGAGCAAGTACTCGTATTCTTCAAAGGTGTAACAGAAACTGTGGCCAAGAGAGTCAAATTTACTCATGAGATTTCATAAACACTCACACCTCTATATGAGTAATTCTTTAATATGAATGAGAAACCATCTTTCTAAGTTACTATCTGATCTCTTTCAAGAGAAAAAGAGATGGTTAATTCTTACTCTTCAGTAAGCAATATTACAAGACAACTACTCTACCTTTAGTTGTTTTTATGATGATGAACTATAGACAATAGCATATGAAGTTACATTAATTTCATATTATTGATCAAGTTCTTACAAATGAATCCCATAATTTCAATCTGTGACAAGTCTAATGGTGTCTTAATTTTAAGATAACTACCTTTTTTGAGATTTGTAATTCTTGGATGGCACTGCGTTTTGTACATGCCTTCACTGATGGCAATTCATGCATCCCTTCAACAAATGTTTGGTGACTGCCAATGAGGTATCAGCCCATGCCCGGCACTAAGGCAGAGACGAGTTTCTTATCCTCAACGAGGGTACATCCTAAAGACTCTGTTTTGGAAACGGAAGCAGTTTTCTCAAATAAATTTAGAGGAATTCTCCCAACTTTTTCAATTTAATCTTTATGTTCCTCATTCGGTCCTCCATGAATATGGATGCCAACTGCTTAGCATCTCTCTCATGATAACCTGCCAGGTGCTTGAAAATAAGCAAGTAGCCCCAAGGTTATACTACACTGTATGACCCAACAGAGTAGGAAATATCTAATATCCCCTCATAGATTCATTTTCCAATTTAGATCACTTGGCTTTATTTCTCAAATTCTTTAAGTTTTCCCACTTTATTTTAAAGCACAGAAAGCAGAAATACACACAAAAAAGGGGTTTTATAAAGGCAAACGATGGTCCAGGGCTATGGTTTCCAAATTTATTTTTTTAAGCTGTTTTTTTTTTAATTAATTTATTATTATTATACTTTAAGTTTTAGGGTACATGTGCACAATGTGCAGGTTAGTTACATATGTATACATAGTGTCAGCTTTTCTCTTCTTTTCAACAGAACCTTACTCTGTTCACCAACATATAAAAAATTAAGAAGCAGATTTTCTTGGGTTGAATCAGAGGTGAGGGTTTCAGGAGAGGGGGATAATGCAGGAATCCTCCATAGTTAGGCCTCCACTCTGACCACCAGTTCTCCTTGAGACACTTCAGGACTCCAAGTAACATTTTTGTAACTACTGGTATAATGCAAGGGTTCTTTCTAGCCTTCCTCTTTCCCTTTTATTTTTTCAACAAACATTCACTAACTTCTATCATTTTGCAGAAACCGAGCTAAATGCTGAGGCTATAGAAATGAAATAATTCCTGTCCTCAAGTCTGGTGGAACAGAGACACACATAAACCACAAATTGCACCACGATGTGAAAATGCTATAATTGCATAGAAAGGGGCTGACAAGGCCAGGCACGGTGGCTCATGCCTGTAATTCCAGCACTTTGGGAGGCCGAGACGGGTGGATCACAAGGTCAGGAGATCAAGACCATACTAGCTAACAAGGTGAAACCCCGTCTCTACTAAAAATACAAAAAATACAAAAAAAAATTAGCCGGGTGTGGTGGTGGGTGCCTATAGTCCCAACTACTCAGGAGGCTGAGGCAGGAGAATGGCGTGACCTGGGAGGCAGAGCCTGCAGTGAGCCGAGATCGTGCCACTGCACTCCAGCCTGGGTGACGAGCGAGACTCCATCTAAAAAAAAAAAAAGGTGGCGGGGGGCACCGACAAACTACTGGATTGAGGGTAGGCTGCCTGAAGGAGGTACTGGAACAGGTTCTTGAAAGACTGCAAGGCTTTTGCCACTTGGTAAGGGGTAATTAGAGATGAAGAAAAAGGTATTCCAGGAGGAGAGAGTGCAAAGTGCAGACTTTCTAAAGGATGATGTAGCTTATTGTATGGGGAAGCTCAGAGCATGAGTTAAGAGGGTACTAGAGGCTGCATGCAATGGCTCCACCTGTAATCCTAGCACTTTGGGAGACCAAGGCAGGAGGATCACTTGAGCCCAGGAGTTCAAGAACAGCTTTGGAAATATGGCGAGATCCTGTCTCTACAAAAACTTAAATATTAGCTGGACATGATGGTATACATTTACAGCCCTGGCGACTCAGGAGGCTGAAGTGGGATGATTGTTTTGAGCCTGCTGACGTCAAGGCTGCATGCAGCCTTGCACTCCCAGCCTAGGCAACAGAGTGAGACCCTGTCTCCAAAAAAATAAAAATAAAAATAAAATAAAAAAAAGAGTACTGGATAGCTGGCCAGAGGTGCCATGCAACACAGTGTGGATTATTTACGTGTGAAGAATTTCCAAATTTGACTACCATTAGTAGTACCTGGCAGCTTACTTAAAATGGAAATATCCTGGGCCAAACCCAAGATCATCTGGATCAGAATCTCTAGAGGAAAGGATTCCCGGAGACAGTCCAGGAATCTATAATTTTAAGGACTTCAACTGGTATTAGGGCTAGCAAGTTTGAAAAACCCTATTGTGGGCCTTAGAGAGGCTCTGAAAGTTCAAACTTGAGAAGCAGCATGATCCCCTAAGTGTTTAGACTGAGCATCTGGGCTGCAATGCAGAAGCCAGGTTGGTAACATAGAAAGAACTCCAGAGAGACAACAGTAGCAGCCCAGGCAAACTATGACACAGTCTTAAAACTGAGGAGAGGTGAATGGATGTGAGATATATTTAGGAGACACAGCTGACCAGATTTAGCAGTTGACTGGATGTGGTTATATCAACCAGAGAAGATATAAAAGAAGATTATATAAATTTTGGGTATACATACTGAATTCGAGGTCTCTGTGGAACACATACGTGAACAGAAAACAGGCAGCTAAAAACCCATGTCTGAAAGTCAGAGAAAATATGTGAGAGGGAGATACAGCTCTGGTATTGATTATTTTGCTGTAGTAGCTGCAACAGCAGCCACTGAGTGAGTGTTTTTTTGCGCACCAGGCATTGTTTTAAGTATTTCTTTTCTTGCCTAATTGCTCTTGATCTTTACAACAGGTATTTTACCTCTGAAGAAACTGAGAGTTGGAGAGGCAAAGTTCCTGGCTTGAGATGAAAAAGTAGAGAGTAGTAAAGTTGAAATTCAAATCTGGAAAGGTTTGAACTCAAAGCCCATGCTTTATCTGTTATTTCCTCTCATGAAATAAGTACTGAAAAAAAGTTTTGGGGTGTGGAAAATTCGGTTCCATGGGAAAATATACCTGGGAAATGCTGCAAGCCACATCTTGCTTCAGAGATGAAGAGTGTCTGTGTGGCATAGGCTCCTAGAGGTGCTGCATGAAAGAAATCTATCTCCAGGATTCCTATTACCTACATGTACTCTGACTCTTCCAACTAGAAAGTCTATGCCATGTACCCATTCCAGCTCTTCTGGAGGCACACAGTTTGTTTGAGGTTCATGACATTCCCACCAAAGAGACATAGGTAATGATTTGCTTGATTAAGAACAAGCAGAAACTTGAATGGCAAATAATCCCAGAAAATTGGCTTTTTCCATTTTGTCTAAGATAAAACAGACACATGAGTAAATCTGCTGTTACATATTCTCAAGTAATTATAAAAACATTTTTGTAATTATACAGCCCCTATCAGGTCTTCAGAAAACAGAACTACCATTTCACCCAGCAATCCATTGCTGGGTGTATACCCAAAGGAATATAAATCATTCTACCATAAAGACACATGCAGGCATATGTTCATTGCAGCACTATTCACAATAGCAAAGACAGGGAATCAACCTAAATGCCCATCAATGGTAGACTGGATAAAGAAAATGTGGTATATACACACCATGGACTACTATGCAGCCATAAAAAAGAACAAGATCCTGTCCTTTGCAGGAACATGGATGGAGCTGGAAGCCATCATTCTTAGCAAACTAACGCAGAAACAGAAAACCAAACACTACATGTTCTCACTTGTAAGTGGGAACTAAATGATGAGAACACCTGAACACAAAGAGGAGAACAACAGACACTGGGGCCCACTGAGGGTGAGGGTGGGAGGAGGGAGATGAGTAGAAAAAATAACTATTAGGTACTAGGCTTAGTACCTGGGTGATGAAAGAACATTCTATCATCTCTGAAGTTCCTTCTCAATCCTGCACCCTTCCCTCTTAGTGGGCCCAAATCAATAAATTCAGCCTGACCCAACTCTATGTTCCTTCCACCATTATCCCACACCCTTAATATCCATTCCCATGCCTGTTCTCTAGATTTCTGTTTGTATAAATTAGACACAGCAATCCCATTACTGGGTATATACCCAAAGGATTATAAATCATGCTACTATAAAGACACATGCACATGTATGTTTATTGTGGCACTATTCACAATAGCAAAGACTTGGAACCAACCCAAATGTCCATCAATGATAGACTGGATTAAGAAAATGTGGCACATATACACCATGGAACACTATGCAGCCATAAAAAAGGATGAGTTCATGTCCTTTGTAGGGACGTGGATGAAGCTGGAAACGATCATTCTGAGCAAACTATCGCAAGGAAAGAAAACCAAACACTGCATGTTCTCGCTCATAGGTGGGAATTGAGCAATGAAAACACTTGGACACAGGGTGGGGAACATCACACAATGGGGCCTGTCATGGGGTGGGGGGAGGGGGGAGGGATAGCATTAGGAGGAATACCTAATGTAAATGATGAGCTGATGGGTGCAGCACACCAACATGGCACATGTAACATATGTAACAAACCTGCACGTTGTGCACATGTACCCTAGAACTTAAAGTATAATAATAATAAAGAAAACTCAAGCAGTTCTTTTCGAGTGTAGTGCACCTTCTCATGGGTCACACTCTCAGCCTCACCTCTAGGGACCTGCCAGGACCTTAGTCTAGTTACAGCTCTATAAGTAAACAAGGGTGTTGGGGGTGGGTCCTGAGGAAAATCAACATTATCCTGCCTGGCAACTGCCTCAGGGGAGGCCATCAGTGTTGTCTCAGGCAGCACAGCATGTATCTCCTCAGACAAAGGTGGAAAGGCTGATGGCAGCTTGGGTCGGGGAGGGGATGCTGACATGACTGGGGATGGGGACGGTGTTCTTTCTGGCAAAAGAGGTTCATCAGAGTTCACAAACTCAGTGTCCCCAGCTTCATCAGGGTCCTCCCCCATGTCCCTATTCCAAGTTGCAGGGTCTCATTATTTTCCAATAAATGCCCTCACTTTAACAGTAGACACCTGGCAAGGCTGTGCATGCATATTTCATTGCGGAACAGCCACTTGCATGATAAGAACTTGTGTCTGTTTTTCCACAATTCCAGCTCTTTCTCTACAGGAACATAATGAAGCTGGTTGGTCGCTCCTAAGTTTGGTGGACAAAGTGATGAAAGAAAATGATGAACTTAGGGATTCCATCTCCCAGCTTCAGAAGCAGATATGGAGCTTGAAATCTGCTATGACTGCCCTGAGTGACAGTCTTATCTCCTGAGGCAGTTGCCAGGCAAGATAATGTTGATTCTCCTCAGAACCCACCCCAACACCCGTTTGCTTCTAGACCTATAACTAGGCTAAAGTCCCAGCGGGCCCCTAGAGGTGAGGTTGAGAGTGTGACTCATAAGGAGGTGTGCTACACTTGAAAAGAACTGCTTGAGTTTTCTAATTTATATAAACAGAAATCTGGAGAACAGGATGGGAATGGATATTAAGGGTCTGGGACAATGGTGGAAGAAACACAGAGTTGGGTCAGGCTGAATTTATTGATTTGGGCCCACTAAGTAGGGACTCTGCATTTAATATTGCAGCTTGGGGAGTTAAAAAAGGTTCTAATAGTTTATTTGGTTAGCTGAAATATGGATTAAAAGATGGTCCACTGTGAGAGGAAATGCCTGATCTCCCTTGGTTTAATGTAGAGGAAGGGATCCAAAGGCTTAGGGAGATTGGGATGGTGGAATGGATTAGTCACTTTAGACCTACTCATCCCAGCTGGGAGGGTCCAGAAGACATACCCTTGACCAATGCCTTGCAAAACAGATTTGTGAGGGCAACACCTGCATTTTGAAGATGGCCTATAATTTGAAGAGCCCTGTAACTGCTCTTTTCTGTATGCCAGATCTAACAGTGGGAACCACAGTCACTCAACTACAAAATTTAAATACAATGGAAATAACTGGATCCCAAGGTGGCAGGGGCCAGGTGGCAGCACTCAACTGTCACAGGCAAAATGGGCCTACCATAATGGACAGCGGAGGCAAAGTGGCAATCAGAATAGTCTGACTCATGTAGAGCTCTGGCACTGGCTAAGTAATCATGGTGTTCCTAGAGGTTAAGTTGATAGGAAGCCTACTGCATTCCTACTTAATTTATACAAGCAGAAAATTTCTAGGTTGAACGGATAAAAGACTTGTTTGAATTATAAAAACAGAGAATCATGGCCCCGAATCAATTTCCAGACTTGAACCAGTTTACAGATCTAGAACCCCTTGAATGGAGGGAGGCCAGGTACCCCCAAAGAAGGACCCTACTACATTACCAACAATTTATGCAGTGAATCTTTCTCCCATCCTTCCCCAAGGAGACCTCCGGCCTTTTACCAGGGTAACTGTGCACTGGGGAAAGAGAAATGATGAGGCATTTTGGGTACTACTAGACACTGGCTCTGAGCTGATGTGGATTCCAGGGGACCCAAAATGTCATTGTGGCCCTCCAGTTAATGCAGGGGCTTATGGAAGTCAGGCAATTAATGGAGTTTTAGCTCAGGTCTGACTTACAGTGGGTCATCTGACTGAGCCTGTGGTCATTTCCTCATTGCCTGAATGCGTAATTGGCATAGACATACTTAGCAGCTGGCAGAACCCCCACATTGGCTTCCTGACTGGTAGGGAGAGGGCTATTACGGTGGGAAAGGCCAGATGGAAGCCATTAGCGTGGCCTCTACCTAGACAAATAGTAAACTAAAAAACTATTGTGCCCGGGTGCAGTGGTTCATGCCTATAATCCCAGCAGTTTGAGAGGCCAAGGTGGGTGAATTGCCTGAGCTCAGAAGTTTGAGACCAGCCTGGGCAACACCGTGAAACCCCATCTCTACTAAAGTACAAAATATTAGTTGGGTGTGGTGGCGCGCACTTGTAGTCCCAACTACTCGGGAGGCTGAGGCATGAGAATTGCTTGAGCTTAGAAGACAGAGGTTGCAGTGAACTGAGATCACTCCACTGCACTCCAGCTTGGGCTACAGAGAGGGACTCTGTCTCAAAACAAACAAACAAACATACATACAAAAAACCAATATTGCATCCTTGGAGGGATTGCAGAGATTAGTGCCACCATCAAGGACTTGAAAGATGTACGGGTGGTGATTCCCATCACATCCCCATTCAACTCTCCCATTTAGCCTGTGTAGAAGACAGATGGATCTTGAAGAATGACAGTGCATTATCGTAAGCTTAACCAAGTGGTGACTCCAATTACAGCTGCTTTACCAGATGTGGTTTCATTGCTTGAGCAAATTAACACATCTCCTGGTACCTGGTATGCAGCCACTGACTCTGCAAATGCCTTTTCCTCCATTCCAGTCCATAAGGCCCACCAGAAGCAATCTGCTTTCAGCTGGCAAGGCCAACAATATATCTTTACTGTCCTACCTCAGGGGTATATCAACTCTCTGGCTTTGTGTCATAACCTTATTTGGAGAGACCTTCATCACTTTTCACTTCTGCAAGATATCACACTGGTCCATTACATTGATGACCATTATGCTGCTTAGATCCAGTGAGCAAGAAATAGCAAACACGTTGGACTTATTGTGAGACATTTGTGTGCCAGAGGATGGGAAATAAATCTGACAAAATTCAGGGAACTTCTACCTCAGTAAAATTTCTAGGAGTCCAGTGGTGTGGGGCTTGTCGAGATATTCCTTCTAAGGTGAAGTATAAGTTGCTGCATTTGGACCCTCCTACAACTAAGAAAGAGACACAATGCCTAGTGGGCCTACTTGGATTTTGGATGCAACATATTCCTCATTTGGGTGTGTTACTCCGGCACATTTATCAAGTGACCTGACCGTTTTGAGTGGGGTCCAGAACAGGAGAAGGCTCTGCAACAGATCCAGGTTGCTGTGCAAGCTGCTCTGCCACTTGGGCCATATGACCCAGCAGATCCAATGGTGCTTGAGGTGTCAATGGCAGATAGGGATGCTGTTTGGAGCCTTTGGCAGGCCCCCTTAGGTGAATCGTAGCGGAGGCCTTTGGGATTCTGGAGCACGGCACTGCCATCTTCTGCAGATAACTACTGTCCTTTTGAGAGGCAGCTCTTGGCCTGTTACTGGGCTTTGGTGGAAACTGAACGTTTGACTATGGGTTAAGTCACCATGCGACCTCAATGGCCTATCATGAGCTGGGTGCTTTCTGACCCATCTAGCCATAAAGGGGATCATACACAGCAGCATTACATCATCAAATGGAAGTGGAATATACATGATCAGGCTTGAGCAGGTCTTGAAGGCACAAATAAGTTACATGAGGAAATGGTTCAAATGCCCATGGTCTCCACTCCTGCCACCCTGCCTTCTCTCCCCTAGCCTGCACTGATGGCCTCATGGGGAGTGCCCCAGGATCAGTTGACAGAGGAAGAGAAAACTAGGGCCTGGTTCACAGGTGGCTCTGCGCGATATGCAGGCACCACCCGAAAGTGGACAGCTGCAGCACTACAACCCCTTTCTAGGACATCCCTGTAGGACAGCAGTGAAGGGAAATTTTCCCAGTGGGCAGAACTGCAAGTAGTGCACCTGGTTGTGCACTTTGCATGGAAGGAGAAATGGCCAGATGTGCAATTATATACTAATTCATGGGCTGTAGTCAATGGTTTGGCTGGATGGTCAGGGACTTGGAAGAAGCATGATTGGAAAATTGGTGAAAAAGAAATCTGGGGAAGAGGTATGTGGATGGACCTCTCTGAGTAGTCAGAAACTGTGAAGATATTTGTATCCCATGTGAATGTTCACCAACAGGTGACCTCAGTAGAGGATTTTAATAATCAAGTAGATAGGATGACCCATTCTGTGGACACCACTCAGCCTCTTTCCCTAGCCATCCCCGTCATCACACAATGGACCCATGAACGAGGTGGCCATGGTGGCAGGGATGGAGGTTACGCTTGGGCTTAGCAACATGGACTTCCACTCACCAAGGCTGACCTGGCTACGGCCATTGCTGAGTGCCCAATTTGCCAGCAGCAGAGACCAACACTGAGCCCTCGATATGGCACCGTTCCTCAAGGTGATCAGCCAGCTGTGGCAGGTTGATTATATTGGACCTCTTCTATCACAGAAAGCGCAGAGGTTCATCCTCACTGGAATAGAACTTACTCTGGATATGGGTTTGCCTATCCTGCAAGCAATGATTCTGCCAAGACTACCATCCATGGACTCACGGAATGCCTCATCCACCGTCATGGTATTCTGACCAATTCACTCACTTTTACGGCTAAAGAAGTGTGGCAGTGGGCTCATGCTCATGGAATTCACTGGTATTACCATGTTCCCCATCATCCTAAAGCAGCTGGATCAATAGAACAGTGGAACAGTCTTTTGAAGTCACAATTACAATGCCAACTATGTGACAATACTTTGCAGGGCTGGGGCAAAGTTCTCTAGAAGGCCATGTATGCTCTGAATCAAAATCCAATGTATGGTACAGTTTCTCTCATAGCCAGGATTCACAGGTCCAGGAACCAAGGGGCAGAAGTGGAAGTGGCACCACTCACCATCACCCCTAGTGACCCACTAGCAAAATTTTTGCTTCTTGTTCCCACAGCATTATATTCTGCTGGCCTAGAGGTCTTAGTTCCAGAAGAAGGAACGCTGCTATCAAAAGACACAATGATTCCATTAAACTGAAGTTAAGATTGCCACCTGGACACTTTGGGATCCTCCTACCTTTAAGTCAACATGCAAAGAAGGGAGTTACAGTGTTGGTTGAGGTGACTGACCTGGACTATCAAGATGAAATCAGTCTACTGCTCCACAACGGAAGTAAGGAAGAGTAAGCATGGAATACAGGAGACCCATTAGGGCATCTCTTAGTATTACCATGCCCTGTGATTAAGGTCAATGGGAAACTACAACAGCCCAATGAAGGCAGGACTACAAATGGCCCAGACCCCTCAGGAATGAAGGTTTGGGTCACTCCACCAGGAAAAAAACCATGACCTGCTGAGGTGCTTGCTGAAGGCAAAGGGAATACAGAATGGGTAGTAGAAGAAGGTAGTCATCAATACCAGCTATGACCACATGACCAGCTGCAGAAACGAGGACTGTAATTGTCATGAGTATTTCCTCCTTCTTTTGTTAAAAACACTTGTGCATGTATACACTTGTACTAAGAAAACATCTTCATTTTATTTCCTTTCTCCTTTATCATGTGACATAAGATTTATTGACTTAACATCAGCATTTAAGTATTGTTAACTTTATGTAATAGTATTTGGGTTGGGGATTGGTACGTTTCCGGTTATGTGAAGGATAGTTGTATTATGTTGGGCTTAATTATGACCTTATTATTGTCTTTATTCAAAGATTATGTATGATCTCAGGAGATGTGTATGGGTTCAAGTTGACAAGGGGTGGACTTGTGATGGTTAATACTGAGTGTCAACTTGATTGGATTGAAGGATACAAAGTACTGATCGTGGTATGTCTGTGAGGGTGCTGCCAAAGGAGATTAACATTTGAGTCAGAGGGCTGGGGAAGGCAGACCTACCCTTAATCTGGGTGGGCACAATCTATTCAGCTGCCAGCACATCTAGAATATAAGCAAGCAAGAAAATGTGAAAAGAGAGACTGGCCTAGCCACCCAGCCTACATCTTTCTCCCAAGCTGGATGCCTCCTGCCCTCAAACATGGGACTCCAAGTTATTCAGTTTTGGAACTCGGGCTGGCTCTCCTTGCTCCTCAGCCTGCGCATGGCCTATTGTGGGATCGTGTGAGTTAATACTTAATAAACTCATATATATATATATAAGAACCCTACCACAGAGGGGAACAACAGACACGGGCCTACTGGAAGGTGAAAGGAGGGAGATCAGGAAAAATAACTAATGGATACTAGGCTTAATACCTGGGTGATGAAATAATCTGTACAGCAAACCCCCATGACATGAGTTTACCTATGTGACAAATCTGTGTATGTACCCCTAAACTTAAATGTTAAAAAAAGAAATCACGTACTTATGAAAATTAACTAAATGGTAGCTTAATGTGGTGAGCTACAAACAGTTGTTTTCACTCTAATAATTTCTGCTCTTATCCCAGGATCAGGCTCCTAATTCTAACAATAACAAGCATGTAGATGAATAAATGGGGGCAAGGCTCTGATGACAGGACAGCACAATGCTAAGTCAGTTCATCTTTGCTGTCTCCAACATTCAGGTCATAATGCTTCTGAGGAAGGTGTGTGCCCATGTGAGGACGCTGGAGGACGAGAAGACTGACCTTCCCTTCCATGTGTTTTGCTAATCACACCCATGGGGACTAAAGAAGTGTACATTTTATATTCCTCAGCTGAAAGTTAAGTAGTCTGAAGTACTTACAGAGAGAAGTAATCATGCTTGGCCCCCGATGCCAAAAAAGCAATGTTACTAATAGAACAGCAGCTGTTTCTCCTTACTGAGGAAAAACTCTTTTGCCTGGTGTAGAAAAATGCACCTTTCCTACATAGGCCCTTTGCGACTTCCCAAGAGTAACCCAGACCTAGCAGTTTTGAATGGCATGCTGAAATAATGATCAGATAAATAAATGAATGAAGGTTGAAGAAACCAATTTAGTTTAGAATTACTTCATCAAGTGTACAAAAGACTATCCTCTCAGTCTCTCTGACTGTACTTAGATAAATATGTAACCTAGCACTATCACAAGAAAACAACACATTTAAGAGCAAATCACCGATAACACGATATAGTGTTTTCCTATTCATTGTTTTCCAATTTATTTACTATGTAAACTGAAAAGATTTAAACAAGTGCTAAAATGTGCTTGCTTTCTTAAAGCCTCATGTAAAAACACTGTCTTAGTAATAATAATATTGACAGTCTTCCTGATCTTGTTACTCTCCCTCATTACCTATACTGGTATTGATACTCTTGTTCTGTGCTTTCCAGTTCCTTGCCACAACGTGAACATTTTTGTTCTTTTTAACTTCATTCCTTTACTCACTATACAAGTTTTTCTCTGTTTGGCATAAAACAAGATATAAGAGTATTTAAGTTTTTTTTATAGTTTGCCATGTAACATACATACTCCTCTATATTTGTCCTATTGTGATTATGGAAGTCCTCTAAGAATACCAGAATATACATATTTATATTTATTAACTTGTTATTTTCACTATTTCTGCTGCTGTTTCTGTGCCTCAATGAGGCAAAGTCTTGCTTGTTTAATATGATATTACATGTCACAGCACAAGACAGAGCTTGTCACAGACTTAGTCCAAAATGAGGGAATCCTGATGAGAAAGGCAGAGCTTACAGAAACTAAACACACACAGAGGAAATAGAAAAATATAGGCTGTTTATAAATAGGAGCTAGAAAATTGAGCCAACCTGAAAGCCACATTAATATTTAAATTTGTCAGATACTTTACTAGATATTTTCTAGGCTTTTAAAGTACACAACTGGGAAGTTCAGGAACAACTTCAGGGAAGAACAGCAAAGAAAGTTCCTAAATGCTTTCAAATTTTTAGTACTTAACAACTTTTAGGTTTTAGAAACATTGAAAATATAAGAATGTCCACTGAACTATGTTAAATTGCTTTTTACTCTCTCTTAATATAAAAAAAGTATGGCTATTTATTTATTTATATTTGAAATGGAGTCTCAGTCTGTTGCCCAGGCTGGAGTGCAGTGGCGTGATCTCGGCTCCTAGGTTCAAGCGATTCTTCTGCTTCAGCCTCCTGAGTAGCTGGGACTACAGGAACACGCCACCAAATCTGGCTAATTTTTTTTTTTTTTTTTTTTTTAGTAGAGACAGGGTTTCACCATGTTGGCCAGGCTGGTCTCGAACTCCTGACCTCAGGTGATCCACCCACCGCAGCCTCCCAAAGTGCTGGGATTACAGGCATGAGCCACCACATCCAGCCTTATGGCATTACTTTTAAAACAATATTATAGTATTGTAGCTAATAAGCTACAGAGACAAGATTTTAGCCTAAGCCTGGCTTTTCCAAAATCTGTACTCATTCCAACTGTCTTTCAAGATATAGTATCTGAATGGTGAAAATAAGATTTAATATTGATCAAAAAGAAATAAAGCATTTGAAAATAGCTACATCTCTCTAAATCATACATATTTATAAATGTGCACAAATGGATATACCCAGACTTCAAAGAACTCTCTTAATTTTCTTCTTTTGCTTCATGTCTTTCCTTCTTCTTGATATTCTGTGCACTCAGTCTATCCTTTCTGCCATGGCCCTGCACAATCAGCTTACCAGATCATTCAGCCCACCAGGTTTTATGCTGTGCTAACCAACAGGTAGCCACTAGCCACAAATTGCTATTTATATTAAAATTAAATAAAGTTAAAGACTCAGTCACATTAGCCACATTTCAAGTGCTCAACAGTCACATGTGGCTAGTGGCTACCATAATGCCCCCCATATATAGAACAATTCAGTTGTATTGGACAGCCTAGCCCTGCAGGGTCTGTGAGGGGTCACTGAGACAAAGGACCCTGTACTAGTGCATAGCAGCACCGTTCTCATATTAGAGAAAACTATATCAATTTCCAAAGTATAACATTATAATGCTGGCAGCACTGAGATGAGGATACACAGGTGCGGTTCTTGGGCTGGAGGAAGGATGTCCAGAGGGCCAGATCTAGGAATGGCACTCTCTGGTACAGGCATTCCTCATCTCCAAGGCTTAGAAATGGCAAGAGGAAACTTGACATCTAAAAACCTAGCAGTCAAAGCATAGATGAAGTTGTTTGTGGTCTACACGCTCATGGTGGGCCAAAATTCTATGAACCAGGAGCTTGGGGCACAGAAAAGAGTTAACATAGCAGGCCTGAGACTGCTATTTAGAAGGGTCTGCTTGCAAGGCTGGCCCTTAGCTGGCATCTGGTATTTGGTTTTCAGAGTGTTCCCAACAACTAAGCGTGGCTCACTATGCCTAGACTGTCTGTGTGAACAATACGGCTTATGTTAAATACCTGCTTCCCTCCTGGGAGCTCGGAATTTAGCATGTGCTACACAGAGGGTGCCCATGTGACAGCCCCCAATAAACCTTGGGTGCTGAGTCCCTAATGGGCTTCCCAGGGCTGAAATATCACACACATAATGCTACATTTTCATTGCTGGAAGAGTGCTCTGTGTGACCCCTCATGTGTGAGACAGAGAGCACAAAGAAGCTTGTGTGTAGATTCCTCCAAAGTCTGTGTCTTTCTGTTATGATCCAGCTATGTATCCTTACTACATCACTGTCATAAGTCTTAGCCATGACTACAAGTATATGCTAAGCCCTATGAGTCCTTGTAGTGAATAATCACTAAGGGTGGTCTTGGAGAACCCCAACATGTCTTTTAAGTCCAGCATCCTTGTCTGCAAAGCAGCAGAGACTGTATGTCTTACATCTCTGCAACCCTCAAAGAATATAGGGTAGGGCAGGTAAGGCCAGTGGCAGTGTGAGTTCAGAGTTTAGGACAAGGACAAGGACAGATCTCAGAGGTCAAACTCAGGAATCCTTGTGAGTTCTGACTTATGGGCTGAAGCTGGAAAACCATGGGCAGGGCTAGTGTTGGGTGGAGATGGACCATGGGTAGGCTGAATTATCCTCCCGGGCAGTGGAATGAAGCTACGGACTGGTTATGGCTGACCACACCCTGGTCAGGAGCAAAGTGTGGAGCCAGAGTAGGTGGATAAAATGAAGTGGATGCTGAGGTATGAGGCATATGACAGCATGGGGACTGTTATCAGAGTGGGTCTTTTATGCTTTAAAGGACAGTTTTTAATCTGGGCTTGAGACAGGTTTCAGAAGATCTATGTATCCTCTGAAGCAGGATGTAAACGATTATGTGTCTGTGTGCGCATGCAATCTTCTAAGGAGAGAGTATCAAAGTGTCCCAGCATCGTTCTCCCTAATCTATCTCTATGTCCTCATATATCCATAAATCCTGCAGACCCAGGTCAGATGTCAGGATGCTCTTCTGGGCAGTGGGAAGCTGGCTGCAAGCCAATCCCTCCATTTCCTTTTCCACTTTTTCCATTTCCTTTTCCATTTCCTTTTCCCATGCAAATGCCACTAACCAAGTCAAAATAAATTAGGTTAAACTGTTCCTCTTAAGCTATCCATAGGGTGCTCAGCCTTATCAATATGAGTATTAATATACTTCACACATTTCTCAATGGAAGTAAAAATATGTTTCAATGCAAAAATCCAAGACGAACTATTTAAGACATATAACAATTGTGTATTTCAGGGTTTCTGAAGCATGTAAATGTTTAATTATTTTCCTTTCTTTCTCTATCTTTCTTTTATTTTGAGACAAAGTCTTGCTCCGTTGTCTGGGCTCACTGTAACCTCAAACTTCTGGGCTCTTCCCATCTGAGCCTCCCAAGTACCTAGGACTACAGGTGCACACCACCATACCTGGATACTTTTAAATTTTTTTGTAGAAACCGGGTCTTACTATGTTGCCCAAGCTGGTCTTAAACTCCCGGCCTCAAGCAATCCTCCTGCCTTGACCTTCCAAAGTGCTGGGATTACAGGCATGAGCCACTGCACCAGTGCTAAATGTTTAATTCTGATATTAGAAAGTTTATTCCTCAGCTTTTTTCCTTAAATCTGAGCTCATGATACGCTACCAGGGATGTAACATTCTGGCCATCAAGAATAAATAATATCCTAGGGGGTTGCTGATAGGGAAACTTGCCTGTTGTTTTTTGGAAGGGACAGTGAGCAGTTATCAAGTACAGACCCTTGGGCTTCTGGAGTCCATGACTATGACCATTAGTTCCTCTTAAAAGCTTCTGATTTCCATCTCATGCTAATCCTGTGATATGGCTGGCTATTGTCTTATGAATCTCTGAAGCAATATGGAGTAATGAAAATAATGCAGGACACAGACAGGGATTTAAATCTTGGATTGGATACTAGCAAACTGTTCAACCTCACTCAGCTGATTTAGGGACTGAATTAAATAATGATGTGAAGCTCCTGACACAGGGTTTGGTACATGCTCTAGAGGAGTGTTCACTCTTGCCCCTTTCTCTCCCTCATTCCCCACAGAGACTGATCCAGACCTTTACATTTCTCCTTACGCCTCTTAGAAAAATACAAATCACTGGACATAAATGTCTTCCAATTGTCTTTAAAACTTATCATAACTCAACTTATTTATGATTGCAGGTATTTCTATCCTTCCTTCCCAGTCCCTGTGGAATAATGCCCCACTGAGCAATCTCTCCTCACTGAAATCTCCATGTCCCCCTTCTCTGCCAACTCTTTTCCTGCACTAAAAGCCTTCCCTGGGATTCCTGGGCAAGGTGGCTGAATAGGAAAAGCTCCAGTCTGCAGCTCTCAGCAAGACCAATGCAGAAGCGGGGTGATTTCTGCATTTCCAATTGAGGTACTAGGTTCATCTCACTGGGACTGGTTACACAGTGGGTGTAGCCCATGGAGGGCGAGCAGAAGCAGAGTGGGGCATCGCCTCACCCCGAAAGCACAAGGGGTTGGGGAACTCCCTTCCCTAGCTAAGGGAAGCCATGAGGGACCCTGCTGTGAGGGATGGTGCTATCTGGCCCAGATACCATGCTTTTCCTATGGTCTTTGCAACACACAGACTAGAAGATTCCCACGGATGCCTACACAACAAGGGCCCTGGGTTTCAAGCACAAAACTGGGCGGCTGTTTGGGCAGACACTGAGCTAGCTGCAGGAGTTTTTTTGTTTGTTTTTGTTTGTTTGTTTTTTTCCATACCCCAGTGGTGCCTGAAACGCCAGTGAGACAGAACCATTCACTCCCCTGGAAAGGAAGCTGAAGCCAGGAAGCCAAGTAGTCTTGCTCAGCGGATCCCACCCTCACGGGGACAAGCAAGCTAAGATCAACTGGCTTGAAATTCTTGCTGCCAGCGCACAAGTCTGAAGTCAACCTGGGATGCTCGAGCTTGGTGGCAGGAGGGATATCCACCATTACTGAGGCTTGAGTAGGTGGTTTTCCCCTCACAGTGTAAACCAAGTCACCAGGATGTTTGGACTTGGCAGAGCCAAACACAGTGCTTCAAAACCACTGTAGCCAGACTGCCTCTCTAGATTCCTCCACTCTGGGAAGGGCATCTCTGACAGAAAGGCAGCAGCCCCAGTCAGGGGCTTATAGATCAAACTCCCATCTCCCTGGGACAGAGCACCTGGGGGAAGTGGCAGGTGTGGGCGCAGCTTCAGCAGACATAAACGTTTCTGCCTGCCAGCTCTGCAGAGAGCAGCAATCTCCCAGCACGGTGCTTGAGCTCTGCTAAGGGACAGACAGCCTCCTCAAGTGGGTCCTTGACCCCCGTGCCTCCTGACAGGGAGACAACTCCCAGTAGGGGTCGACAGACACCTCATACAGCAGAGCTCTGGCTGGCACCCAATGGGTGCCCCTCTAGGACAAAGCTTTCAGAAGAAGGACAGACAGCAATCTTTGCTGTTCTGTAGCCTCCACTGGTGATACCCAGGCAAACAGGATCTGGAGTAGACCCCTAGCAAACTCCAGTGGATCTACAGAAGAGGGCCATGATTGTTAGAAGGAAAACTAACAAACAGAAAGGAATAGCATCAACATCAGCAAAAAATACGACCATGCATAAACTCCAACCAAAGGTCACAAACAGCAAAGACCAAAGGTAGATAAATCTACGAAGATGAGGAAAAACCAGTGCAAAGAGGCTGAAAATTCCAAAAACCAGAATGCCTCTTCTCCTCCAAAGGATCACAACTCCTTGCTAGCAAGGCAACAAAACTGGACAGAGAATGAGTCTGATGAATTGACAGAAGTAGGCTTCAGAAGGTGGGTAATAACAAACTCCTCCAAGCTAAAGGAGCATGTTCTAACCCAATGCAAGGAAGCTAAGAACCTTGAAAAAAGGTTAGAGGAATTGCTAACTACAATAACCAGTTTAGAGAAGAACAGAAATGACCTGATGCAGCAGAAAAACACAGCACAAGAACTTTGTGAAGCATACACAAGTATCAATAGCTGAACTGATCAAGCAGAAGAAAGGATATCAGAGACTGAAGATCAACTTACTGAAATAAGTCGTGAAGACAAGATTAGAGAAAAAATAATGAAAATGAACAAACGAAGCCTCCAATATGGGACTATGTGAAAAGACCAAACCTACATTTGATTGGTGTATATGAAGGTGATGTGGAGAATGGAACCATGTTGGAAAACACACATCAGGATATTATCCAGGAGAACTTTCCCAACCTAGCAACACAGGTCAACATTCAAATTCAGGAAATACAGAGAACTCCACAAAGATACTATTTGAGAAGAACAACCCGAAGACACACAATCGTCAGATTCACCAAGGTTGAAATGAAGGAAAAAATGTTAAGGGCAGCCAGAGAGAAAGGTCAGGTTATCCACAAAGAGAAGCCCATCAGACTAACAGCAGATCTCTCTGTAGAAACCGTATAAGCCAGAAGAGAGTGGGGGCCAATATTCAACATTCTTAAAGAGAAGAATTTTCAACCCAGAATATCATACCCAGCCAAACTAAGCTTCATAAGTGAAGGAGAAATATAATTCTTTACAGACAAGCAAATGTTGAGGGATTGTGTCACTACCCAGGCCTGCCTTACAGAAGGAGGCACTAACTATGGAAAGGAAAAGCCGGTATCAGCCACTGCAAAACAAACCAAAATGTAAAGACCATGGACACTATGAAGAAACTGCATCAACTAATGGGCAAGATAGCCAGTTAGCATCATAATGACAGGTTCAAATTAACACATAACAATACTAACCTTAAATGTAAATGGGCTAAATGCCCCAATTAAAAGGCACAGACTGGCAAACTGGATAAAGTGTCAAGACCCATCAGTGTGCTATATTCAGAAGACCCATCTCATGTGCAAAAACACACATAGGGTCAAAATAAAGGGATGGAGGAATATTTACCAAGCAAATGGAAAGCAAAAAAAAAAATGGGTTGTAATCCTAGTCTCTGATAAAACAGACTTTAACCAACACGATCAAGACCAACAAAGATAAAAAAAAGACAAAGCAGGGTATTACATAATGGTAAAGGGATCAATGCAACAAGAAGAGGTAACTATCCTAAATATATATGCACCCAATACAGAAGCACCCAGATTCATAAAGCAAGTTCTTAGGGATCTACAAAGAGACTTAGATTCCCACACAATAATAGTGGGAGACTTTAACACCCCACTGTCAATATTAGACAGATCAACGAGACAGAAAATTAACAAGGATATTCAGGACTTGAATTCAGCTCTGGACCAAGCAAACCTAATAGACATAGACAGAACTCTCTACCCCAAATCAACAGAATATACATTCTTCTCAGCATCTCATAGCACTTATTCGAAAATTGACCACATAACTGGAAGTAAAGCACTCCTCAGCAAATGCAAAAGAATGGAAATCATGCCAAACAGTATCTCAGTCTACAGTGCAATCAAATTAGAACACAGGATTAAGAAACTCACTCAAAACTGCACAACTACATGGAAATTGAACAACCTGCTCCTGAATGACTACTGGGTAAATAATGAAATTAAGGTAGAAATAAAAAAGTTCCATGAGACCAATGAGAACAAAGATACAATGTACCAGAATCTCTGGGATACAGCTAAAGCAGTGTTTAGAGAGAAATTTATAGCACTAAATGCCCACAGGAGAAAACAGGAAAGATCTAAAACTGACACCCTAACATCACAATTGAAACAACTAGTGAAGCAAGAGCAAACAGATTCAAAAGCTAGCAGAAAACAAGAAATAACTCAGATCAGAACAGAACTGAAGGAGACAGAGACACAAAATTCTCTTCAAAAAATCAATGAATCCAGGAGCTGGTTTCTCGAAAAGATTAACAAAATAGACTGCTAGCCAGACTCATAAAGAATAAAAGAGAGAATAATCAAACAGACACAATTAAAAATTATAAAGGGTTGATCACCACTGATCCCACAGAAATACAAACTACTATCAGAGAATACTATAAACACCTAAAAGCAAATAAACTAGAAAACCTAGAAGAAATGGATAAATTCCTAGACACATACACTCTCCCAAGACTAAACCAGGAAGAAGGTGAATCCCTGAATAGACCAACAAGTTCTGAAATGGAGGCAGTAATTAACAGCCTACCAACCAAAAAAACCCGAGGATCAGATGGATTCACAGCCGATTTCTACTAGAGGTATAAAGAGGAGCTGCTACCATTCCTTCTGAACTTATTCCAAACAACATGAAAAGAAGGACTCCTCCCTAACTCATTTTATGAGGCCAGCATCACCCTTATACCAAAACCTGGCAGGGACACAATAAAAAAAGAAAATTTCAGGCCAATATCCCTGATGAACATCGATGCAAAAATCCTCAATAAAATACTAGGAAGCCCAATTCCAGCAGCATATCAAAAAGCTTATCCACCACAATCAAGTCAGCTTCACCCCTGGGAGGCAAGGCTGATTCAACATACACAAATAAATAAATGTAATCCATCACATACACAGAACCAATGACAAAAACCACATGATTATCTAAATAGATGCAGAAAAGGCCTTCAACAAAATTCAACAGCCCTGCATACTAAAAGCACTCAATAAACTAGGTATTTATGGAAAATATCTTAAAATAATAAGAACTATTTATGACAAACCCACAGCCAATGTCATATTGAATGGGCAAAAGCTGGACGCATTCCCCTTGAAAACTGGCACAAGACAAGGATGCCCTCTCTCACCACTCCCATCCAACATAGTATTGGAAGTTCTGGCCAGGGTAATAAGGCAAGAGAAACAAATAAAGGATATTCTAATGGAAAGAGAGGAAGTCAAATTGTCTCTGTTTGCAGATTACATGATGGTATATTTAGAAAATCTCATCGTCTCAGCCCAAAAACTTCTTAAGCTGATAAGCAACTTCAGCAAAGTCTCAGGATACAAAATCAATGTGCAAAAATCACAAGCATTCCTATACACCAATAATAAACAAATAGAGAGCCAAATCACGAGTGAACTCCCGTTGAAAATTGCTACTAAGAGAATAAAATGCCCAGGAATACAACTTACAAGAAATGTGAAGGACCTCTACAAGGAGAACTACAAACCACTGCTCAAGGGAATAAGAGAGGACACAAACAAATGGAAAAAATTCCATGTTCATGGATAGGAAGAATCAATATCGTGAAAATGGCCATAATACTCAAAGTAATTCATAGATTCAATGCTATTCCCATCAAACTACCATTGATTTTCTTCACAGAATTAGAAAAAAACTACCCTTTTTTTTTTTTTTTTTTTTTTGAGATGGAGTCTCACTCTGTAGCCCAGGCTGGAGTACAGTGGCGCGATCTCAGCTCACTGCAAGCTCCACCTCCCGGGTTCACACCATTCTCCTGCCTCAGCCTCCCGAGTAGCTGGGATTACAGGTGCCCACCACCACGCCCAGCTAATTTTTTGTATTTTTAGTAGAGACGGGGTTTCACTGTGTTAGCCAGGATGGTCTTGATCTCCTGACATCATGATCTGCCCACCTTGGCCTCCCAAAGTGCTAGGATTACAGGCATGAGCCACCACGTCTGGCCTAGAAAAAACTACTTTAAGTTTCATATGGAACCAAAAAAGAGCCCATATAGCCAAGACAATTCTAAGCAAAAAGAACAAAGATGGAGGCATCACGTTGCCTGACTTTAAACTATACTACAAGGTGACAGTAACCAAAACAGCACAGTACTGGTACCAAAACAGAGATATAGACCAATGGAACAGAAGAGAGGCCTCAGAAATAACACCACACATCTACAACCATCTGATCTTTGACAAACTTGACAAAAACAAGCAATAGGGAAAGGATTCCCTATTTAATAAATGCTGTTGTGAAAACTGGCTAGCCATATGCAGAAAACTGAAACTGGATCCCTTCCTTACGACTTATACAAAAATTAACTCAAGATGGATTAAAGACTTAAACATAAGACCTAAAACCATAAAAACCCTAGAAGAAAATCTAGGCAATATCATTCAAGACATAGGCATGGGCAAAGACTTCATGACTAAAACACCAAAAGCAATGGCAACAAAAGCCAAAATAGACAAATGGGATCTAATTAAGCTAAAGAGCTTCTGCACAGCAAAAGAAACTATCATCAGAGTGAACAGGCAACCTACAGAATGGGGAAAATTTTTCCCATCTACCTATCTGACAAAGGGCTAATATCCGGAATCTATAAGGAACTTAAACAAATGTACAAGAAAAAAACAAACAACCCCATCAAAAAGTGAACAAAGGATATCAACAGACACTTCTCAAAAGAAGACATTTATGCAGTCAACAAGCATATGAAAAAAACTCATCATCACTGGTCATTAGAGAAATGCAAATCAAAACCACAGTGAGATACCATCTCATGCCAGTTAGAATGACGATCATTAAAAAGTCAGGAAACAACAGATGCTTGAGAGGATGTGGAAAGATAGGGACGCTTTCGCACTGTTGGTGGGAGTGTAAAGTAGTTCAACCATTGGGAAAAACAGTGTGGCGATTCCTCAGGGATCTACAACTAGAAATACCATTTGACCCAGCAATCCCATTACTGGGTATATACCCTAAGGATTATAAATCATTCTACTATAAAGACACATGCACACATATGTTTATTGCAGCACTATTCACAATAGATAACCAACCCAAATGCCAAACAATCATAGACTGGATAAAGAAAATGTGGCACATATACAACATGGAATACTATGCAGTCATAAAAAAGGGTGAGTTCATGTCCTTTGCAGGGACATGAATGAAGATGGAAACCATAATTCTCAGCAAACTAACACAGGAACAGAAAACCAAACACCGCACGTTCTCACTCGTAAGTGGGAGCTGAACAATGAGAAAATATGGGCACAGGGAGGGGAACATCACACACTGGGGCCTGTTGGGGGTTGGGGGGCAAGGGGAAGGAAAGCATTAGGAGAAATACCTAATGTAAATGACAGGTTGATGGGTGCAGCAAACCACCATGGCACATGTATACCTATGTAACAAACCTGCATGTTCTGCACATGCATCCCAGAACTTAAAGTAAAATAACAATAAAAACAAAGAAACAACAACAACAAAAAAGCCTTCCCTAACCCTGTCCATTTTGTTTTTCACCAAACTTCTACAGAGGTATCCTCATTTCTGCCTCTATATTCCTACACTGCTCTTTCATTCCTCAGCCAACTTTGGTTAAGTTTCTACTTATCCAAAAATTCAAAACACTTTATTTAAACTAAAATCTCCACTGATGGCCTCCATATCCAATCCTATCATTGTGTCATTCCTCTGCAGCCTCTGGCATTGATGCTGGTGTGAAATAATGTTGGCCACAGGAAGCGTCCCTGCCTCACCCTATCTCTGCTCTTGAAATGTTTCCTTTGTTGGCTTCTACTGATTCTCCCGTCTGACTGCTCCTTTACAGTCTACTTAGCTAGGTCTTCTTCCTTTTTCCTTCATCCAATTCTTTATCTAAAATATTCCCCCTTGGTTATTTGGCGCACTGTTCTGATGTCAACAATCATTGATTGCTAATATCTAAATCTCTGGCCTAGACTTCTTTCTATATATCTACCATTCCAATCATTCAGGCATTTTTTTTTTTTATGAGACAGGGTCTTGCTCTGTTGCCCAGACTTGAACGCAGTGATGCAATCATGGCTCACTGCAACCTCGACCTCCAGGGCTCAAGTCATCCTCCCACCTCAGCCTCTCAAGTACCTGGGACTACAAGCATGTGCCACCATGCCTTGCTAATTCTTATTTTTTGTAGAGATGGGGTCTTGCTTGTTGCCCAGGCTGATCTCAAACTCCTGGTTTCAAGTGATCCTCCCTCCTTAGCCTCCCAAAGTGCTGAGATTACAGGCCGTGACAATCAATTTCTAACAAACTCTCAAATTTTGTTGACGCTATTTGTCTTTGAATCAAACTTCAAATAGCAAGGTTTGAAAGAACTATAATGACAAAAGATTTGTTGAACTACTGGGCACTGCAGAATACAGGAAAATTCTGAGTATCAGTGTTGGGGTATGAGGGATTAACAGGTATATTAGATCACTGATGGAGACATCTATGTGAGTCCAGTGATTTATCTGGGGTCTTGCAGTGTCTCAGTGTCTTATGACTGGAAGTCTGTCTGATTTATAGTCCAAGGGAAGCTGTCAGCAGCTCTGGAGTCAGGGTGGATTAGTGTTTCTGGTACGTGGATTAATGTTCGAGAAGCTTCAGAGTTTTAGTGATGGTACAGCTTCTAGCAATAGTATGTGGGGGCCAATACCAGTAGATTACTGGGGTCTTCTAGAGGTCAATGGCTGAGGAAGCCCAGAGTTTGGCAACTGAAGGGGAATTGTTGTGGGGTCAGTCACTGGGGTCCTGAAATGTTCAATGTTTTAATAACCTGCAGAGTCAGTGTCACCTCTTTAGAGAGGTCATGCCTAACTGCCCTACTTTAAAAAGTGCCATGCCCTATTTCTGTGATTCTCATTGCTTCATTTTCTTTGAAGAATTTACCTCATGCCAGTTATATATATATATATTTATCCTCTATCTCCCCCTCTAGAACATAAACTACAAGAATACAGGGATTTTCTCTGTCTTGTTTTATGCTGAATCCCCAGCAGCTGGAACAATATCTTATATATGGTGGGCATACAATGTGTTTTGAATAAATAAACAAGAAGAATATTATAGATATAATCTCAAATCCACTCAAATTTATAAGAAGTAAATGTTTTTCAAATCAGCACTGTATTAGTAACAAATTACTTATAATACCCTCTTAATACCTTTTAGATGTAGCAGCTCTACCCAAAATCCAACAGAGTCCTTGAGCTCAGCTGTCACAGGCACTAGTTCTTCACCTTTCCTACACATTGAAATCATCTGAGAAATCCTGTTTTAATTAATCTGTAGAGTGGCCAGGATATTAAAAACTTTAATTGTATGTGCATTTAAGATTAAGAACTCCTGGTTTAAAACCTGTCCACTCCTTTTGCATACCCTCCTGTGGCTAATGGCTTCTACATACACTCAACAGTCGCCCCTCCCACTTCACATACCTCTAAAAACAAGTCTCTTGAATGTGTCCTTTTATCTTTATTGTCACTTCCACTATCCAGGTTGCAAACTATGCCATCTTTCTTTTTCTCTCTTAATGTACCAAAGTACAGTTTACATATGGCAATAGGCACAAATCTAAGTATACAACTTGATGAATTTTTGCTTAGGGAATCACCATGGCATATCATGATGCAGAATTAATTCCACCATCTAAAAGGTTCTGTTGTGATCTTTCTAGTGAATACTACCAACCATGACTATAGTTCAGGTTTGCCTATTCTTGAACTTTACATAAACAAAATCATTCAATATGTATCCTTTTGAGTCTGGCTTTTTTACTTATAATTTTTTCTCTATTCTTTTTTCCAAAAAATTTATTAGTGCTACAATGAACATATGCATGCATGTGTCTTTATAACAGAATGATTTATATTCCTCTGGGTATGTACCCAGTAATGGGATTGCTTAGTCAAATGGTAGTTCTGTTTTTAGGTCTTTGAGGAACTGCCACACTACTTTCCACAATGGTTGAACTAATTTACACTCCCACCAACAGTGTATAAGTGTTCCCTTTTCTCCACAACCTCACCACCATCTGTTATTATTATTATTTTTTACTTTTAAATAGTAGCCATTCTGACTGGTGTGAGATGGTATCTCATTGTGGTTTTGATTTGCATTTCTCTAATGATCAGTGATGCTGAATTTTTCATATGCTTCTTGGCCACGTGTATGTCTTTTTTTGAAAAGTGACTGTACATGTCCTTTGCCTACTTTATATTGAAGTTGTTTTTTTCTTGTAAATGTGTTAAGTTTCTTATAGATGGATATTAGACCTTTGTCGGGTGCACAGGTTGCAAAAATTTTATCTTATTCTGTAGGTTGTCTGTTTACTCTGTTGATAGTTTCTTTTCCCATGCAGAAGCTCTTTAAATAGATCCCATTTGTCAATTTTTGCTTTTGTTGCAATTGCTTTTGGTGTTTTCATCATGAAATCTTTGCCTGTTCCCATGTACACAATGGTATTGCCTAGGTTGTCTTCCAGGGTTTTTATATTTAAGTCTTTAATCCATCTTGAGTTGATTTTTACATATGGTATAAGGAAGGGGTTCAGTTTCAATCTTCTGCATATGGTTAAGCAGGTATCCCAGCACCATTTCTTGAATAAGGAATCATTTCCCCATTGCTTATTTTTGTCAGCTTTGTCAAAGAGCAGATAGTTGTAGGTGTATAGCCTTATTTCTGGTCTCTCTATTCTGTTCCACTGGTCTATGTGTCTGTTTTTGTACCAATACTATGCTGTTTTGGTTACTGCAGCCTTGTAGTATATTTTAAAGTTAGTGTATTTAAAACAACAAAGTAGAGTAGCATGATGTCTCCTGCTTTGTCCATTTTGCTTAGGATTGCCTTGGCTATTCTAACAATACTGATTCTTCCTATCCATGAGCATGGAATGTTTTTCCATTTGTTTGTGTCATCTCTGATTTCTCTGAACAGTGTTTTGTAATTCTCATTGTAGAGATCTCTCACCTCCTTGATTAGCTGTATTCCTACATACTTTATTTTTGTGTGTGGCAATTGTGAATGGGACTACCTTCCTGATTTGGCTCTCAGCTTAGCTGTTGTTGGGTATAGGAATACTAGTGATTTTTGTACACTGATTTTGTATTCTGAAACTTTGCTGAAGTTGTTTATCAGCTTAAGGAGCTTTTGGGCCGAGATTATGGGGTTTTCTAGAATAGAACCATGTCATCTGAAAACAGAGATAGACTGACTTCTTCTCTTCCTACGTAGAGGCCTTTTAATTCTTTGTTCTCCCTAATTGCTCTGGTCAGGTTTCCAACAATCTGTTCAATATGAATGGTGAGAGAGGACATCCTTGTGCCAGTTTTCAAGTGGAATGCTTCCAACTTTTGTCTATTCAGTATGAGGTTGGCTGTGGGTTTGTCATAGATGGCTCTTATTATTTTGAGGTATGTTCCTCCAATATCTAGTTCATTGAGAGTTTTTAACATGAAGAAATGTTGAATTTTTTTGAAAGCCTTTTCCGCATCTATTGAGATAATCATGGGGTTTTTATCTTTAGTTCTATTTATGTGTTTAATCACATTTATTCATCTGAGTATGTTGAAATCAACCTTGCATACCAGAGATAAAGCCTACTTGATCACAGTGGATAAGCTTTTTGGTGTGCTGTTGGATTTGGTTTGCTAGTATTTTGTTGAGGATTTTTGCATCAATGTTCATCAAGGATAATGGCCTGAAGTGTCTGTTGTTGTTGGTGGTGGTGGTGGTGTGTCTCTGCCAGGTTTTGGTATCAGAATGATGCTGACCTCATAGAATGAGTTGGGGAGGAGTCTCTTCTCATTTTTTGGGAATAGTTTCAGAGGAATGGCACCAGCTTTTCTTTGTATATCTGTAGAATTTGGCTGTGAATCCGTCTGGTCTAGAGCTTATTTATTTATTTATTTATTTGGCTGGTAGGCTATTTATTACTGATTCAGTTTTGGAGTTTGTCATTTGTCTGTTCAGGGATTCAATTTCTTCCTAGTTCAGTCTTGGGAGGGTGTATGTACCCAGGAATTTATCCATTTGTTCTGAATTTTTTAGTTTGCATGCACAGAGGTGTTCAAAATACTCTCTGGTTGTTACCTGTATTTCTATGCGGTGAGTGGTAATATTCCCTTTGTCATTTCAGATTGTGTTTATTTGAATTTTTTTTTTTTGAGACAGAGTTCACTCTGTTACCCAGGCTTGAGTGCAGTGGTATGATCTTGGCTTACTGTAACCTCTACCTCTCAGATCCAAGCAATCCTTCCACTTTGGCCTCACGAGTAGCTGGGACTACAGGTGTGTGCCACCATGACTGGCTAATTTTAGTATTTTTTGTAGAGATGGGGTTTTGCCATGTTGCCTAAGCTGGTCTCAAATTCCCAGGTTCCAGTGGTCCACCTGGACCTCTGGACTTGGCCTCCCAAAGTACTGGGATTACAGACATGAGCCATTTCATCTGGCTGGGTCTTCTCTCTTTTCTTATTAGTCTAGCTAATGGACTATTTTATTATTTTTTTCAAAAAATCATCTTGATTCATTGATCTTTTGAATTTTTTTGTGTCTCAATCTTCTTCACTTCAGATCTGATTTTGGTATTGGTTATCTTCTGCTAGCTTTGAGGTTGGTTTGCTCTTGCTTTTCTAGTTCTTTTAGTTGTGATGTTAGGTTGTTAGAGATCTTTCTAGCTTTTTGATATGAGTGTTTAGTGCAATAAAGTTCCCTCTTAACACTGTCTTAGCTGTGTTCCAGAGATCCTCATATGTTGTATCTTTGTTCTCATTAGTTTCAAAGAACTTGATTTCCACCTTAATTTCATTATTTACCTAAAAGTCATTCAGGAGCAAGTTGTCCAATTTCCCTGTAATTGTGTGATTTTGAGAGATTTTCCTATTCTTGAATTCTATTTTTATTGCTCTGTGGTTTGAGAAAGTGGTTGATGTGACTTTGCTTGCTTTGTATTTGCTGATGATTGTTTTATGTCTAACGGTGTAGTTAATTTTAGGGTATGTGCCATGTGCAGATAAGAATGTATATTCTGTTGTTTTGGGGTGGAGTTTTGTAGATGTCTATCACATCCATTTGGTCCAGTGTTGAGTTCAGGTCCTGCATATCTTCACTAATTTTCTGCCTTGATGATCTAACACTGTAAGTGGGGTGTTGAAGTCTCCCACTATTGTTGTGTGGGAGTCTAAGTTTCTTTGAAGGTCTCTAAGAATTTGCTTTATGAATTTGAGTGCTCCTGTGTTGAGCGCATATATATTTAGGATAGTTAGGTCTTCTTGTTGAATTGAACCCTTTACCATTATATAATGCTCTTTTGTCTTTTTGATCTTTGTTGGTGTGAAATCTGTTTTGTCTGAAATCAGGATTGCAATCCCTGCTTTTTTCTGTTTTCCATTTGCTTGGTAGATTTTTCTCCATCCCTTTATTTTTAGCCTATGGGTATCAATGAATGTGAGATGGGTCTCTTGAAGACAGCATACCACTGGGTCTTGCTTCTTTATCCACCTTGTTACTCTGTGCCTTTTAATTGGGGCATTTTGCCCATTTACATCCAAGGTTAGTAGTGAATGTGTAAATTTTATCCTGTGTTCGTGTTTATTTGTTTAAGCTATTTGCTAACTTGTGTGGCTGCTTTATAGTGTCACTGGTCTGTGTACCTAAGTGTGTGTATGTGGTGGTTGGCAATGGTCTTTCCTTTCCATATTTAGTGCTTCGTTTAGAAGCTCTTGTAAGGCAGGTCTGGTGGTAACTAATTTCCTCAGCATTTGCTTGCCTGACAAGGATCTTCTTTCCCCTTTGCTTATGAAGCTTAGTTTGGCTGGATATGAAATTCTTTGCTGAGATTTCCTTTTTTTAAGAATGATGATACCAGCATGGCAAAACCCTGTCTCTACTAGAAACATAAAATTAGCCAGGCATGTGCCTGTAATCCCAGCTACTTGGGAGGCTGAGGAGAACTGCTTGAACCCAGGAGGTGGAGGTTGCAGTGAGCCAAGATCATGACACTGCACTCCAGCCTGGACAACACAGCAAGACTCTGTCTCAAAAAAAAAAAAAAAGAATGTTGAATATTGGCCCTCAATCTCTTCTGGCTTGTAGGGTTTCTGTTGAGAGGTCCACTATTTGTTTGATGGGCTTCCCTTTGTAGGTGAGCTGTCCTTTCTCTCTAGCTGCCTGTAATATTTTTTCTTTCATTTCAACCTTGAAGAATATGATGACTTACATGTACTGGGGATGATCCTCTTGTGAAGTATTTTCTGGGAGTTTTCTGCATTTCCTGAATTTGAATGTTGGCCCTCTAGCTAGGTTGGGAAGTTCTCATGGATGATATAATGAAATACGTTTTCCAAGTTCTTTCCATTTTCCCGATCTCTTTCAGGGATGCCAGTGAGTTGCAGATTCAATCTCTTGATAATCCTATATTTATCGGAAGTTTTGTTTGTTCCTTTTCATTCTTTTTTTCTTTATTCTTGTCTGTCTTATTTCAGAAAGCCAGTCTTCAAGCTCTGAGATTCTCTCCTCAGCTTGGTCTATTCTGCTGTTAATACTTCTTCTAGAGTGTTTTTCAGCTCTATCAGATTGGTTATGTTCTTTTCTATACTGGCTATTTCGTCTGTCAGCTCCTGTATTGTTTTACTGTGATTCTTAGCTTCCTTAGATTGTGTTTCAACGTTCTTCTGAATCTCAATGATCTTCATTCCTATTCATATTCTGAATTCTATTTCTGTCATTTCAGCCATCTCAGCCCAGTTAAGAACCCTTGTTGGAGAACTGTTGCAATTGTTTGGAGGAAAGAAGATACTCTGGCTTTCTGAGTTGTCAGAGTTCTTGCACTGGTTCTTTCTCATCTTTGTGGGCTAATATTCCTTCAATATTTGAACCTGCTATCCTTTGGATGGTTTTTTTTTCCCTTTTATACTACTTAATGACCTTGGGGGTTTGATTGTGATATAAGATGGGTTCAGTCAACTAGCTTCATTACTGGAAGATTTTAGGAGACCAAGGCTCAGCTCAGGACTTCTATAATGTCTGGTTTCACTCTGGAAACTGATATCAAGCTTGGCTTTGAAATCTGGCTTGAGATTAGGAATCTGCTGCACTGGAGGGGTCAAGGTGCTCTGGGACTGCTGGTCACAACACTCTGCTGGGTGGTGCCAACCAAAGTACTTCATATGGTGGTGGCAGCGGGATCTTGTTTTCATGTGCCAATGGCAGCGGCAATGCAGTGGGGAGCACACTTGTCTGCTGGGGCAGGGTGCTAGTGGGTACTGAGGTGCCAGCTTCCATTCAAGCATTTGAAGTATGGCTGGGGGGGGCACCCCCTCCTATTAGTGACTATGCTCACATTTGCACAATGGTGGTGTTAGCACGGGGGCAGGGTACTGGTGGGAGCAGGACTGTGTGTATCCACTGTATGCGTTGATGCCGGCAGCAGTGGCTGCTCAGGGCTAGGGGCAAGTCCACTATTTTCCATGCCTAGTTTTATGCCAGCACCCCTGGTGCAGGGGCAAGGCACTGGTGAGGAAAGGAGCCCACCAACATTCTGAAAACAATGGCGGTGTGGCAGGGGGAAGCAAGGGCAAGGACACTCATGTAGGCAGGTGTGGCATGGCAGGGTGCACGCACACACACACATGCCTGCAAAGTGATATAGAGAGCGGCCATGGTGACGTGTGTGCAGGCAAAGTGGCATGGGGAGGCTGCAGTGGAGGAAGGGTGTGGGTGGGCTGCAGCCTGTCAGTGGGGGCTGCTATGCTGGAGCTCTCTGCCGACCAAGCGTGGCCTGCCAGTGCAGGAGCTATGATGTGGGTACCCACAAATTACCTGAGGGCTGCACTGATGCAGGCACAGCCAGGCTGGGGCCCTGGGAGAGGCTAGCCAACTGAGGGGTGCTCAGGTCTGACCCGGCTCTATCTCATGGGCCAGATCACCTTGCAGAGTTCAGGTCAGACAGTTCCTCTAGGGGCTAAAGTCTCCTATTGGAGCAAGTGAAGCCTAGCGGGAGAGGCATCTCTGGCCATGCTCCACTACAGATGCTCCCACACCAAACCCTCTGGGCTCCACCCTGACCAGAGTTCTGCCCCTACTACTTCTCTAAGCAGCTTTCCCTGTCAACATAAGTGTCTGTGGTGGTTGAGGGATCTCTCCCTGCCAGGATTTGTGGGGCCTGTGGCAAGAGCAGATTGTTCCTTGTCTGTTCAACTCACCCCCTCTGCAGGAGTTGCTGAAGGTCAGGAATGAATCCTGGTGCATGGTAGCCCCATGCAGAATTCCCAGCTTCTTCCCCCTTCAATCCAGCCTCTATGTCTTCCCTCCATTTGCTTGCAATGTCTTCCCTCTGAAGATGTGCTAGGAGTGCAACCATCTTCCCAATGTCGGGATGTCAGTGGGAAATGTTCTTCTGGCTCCATCTAATTGGCCATCTTGGAGCAGGAGTCTGTGTCTGGCTTCTTTCACACAACATAATGCTTTCAAGATTCATTCATGTTGCTGTATCAATACTTCATTCTTTATGGTTAAGTAGTATTCCATTATATATAGATACAATGTATGTATATAGATACAATTATTTATCAATTCTCCTGTTGATATGTGATTTGTTTCCAATTTTTGGCTATGATGAACAAAGCTTCAATGAACATTCTTGTTTGTCTTTTTTATGGGCACATGTCTTGTTTCTCTTGGGTATACACCTAGGAGCAGAACTGCTGAAACAGAGTAGGCATATGCTTAACTTTATTAGAAACTATTTAAACTTCAGACCCAACCTCTGCACATTATCTGTGCACTATGAGATCCTCACCATTGGAGGGATGATTTGATATTTAAAGATGACTATGCCAGGCCCCTCCTTAAAATTCAATCATGTTCTTTATCATCTTCTTTATACATAAGGCCCAAGACCCTTAGTTGGCACAGAACACTCTTTTCCCTCATCTCTGATTTCACCATTCATACTATAACAACATCAAATGCTTGTGGTGCTTCCTGCCACTGCTTATTTCCCAAGTCTTTATTCACACTCTCTCCTTTGCTTGGAATACCTTCTGCCCCTCACTGCAAAGATTAGTAGGAGTACTCATGCTTTCCCATTATCTCTTCCAGAAAACTTTTCCTAACCCTCAGGAATAAATGGGAAATTCTCATTAGCTAGGTGCGGTGGTGTACACCCGTAGTCCCGCTACTCAGGAGGCTGGGGTTGGAGGATTACTTGAGCCTAGGAGGTTAACGCTGCAATGAGCTGTGATTCTACCACTTCACTCCAGCCTGGGAGACAGAGCAAGACCCTGTCTCAAAAATATTAAAAACATTTTAAAAATTAAAAAAGTAATGGGAAATCCTCCTAGACGTTCTGACAATACCCTGAGCAACTCTTCATTGTTGTTTATATATTTTTCTCAGATTATAAGTGTTTACTAAAGTAAATCTGGGAATTACTTAAAAGCAAAAGCAGAAAGCTATAATTGTCCACAATCCCACTAAAATTGTTCACTCAGAGGCAATCATAATCACTGTTAACATTTTCATATAAAGCCATTTTACTGCTGCCACTGGTCCAAACCCAATCTCTCCTGATATTATTATATTAAGTCTCCCAACTGGTCTTGTTTTTGCCTGCATTTCCCACAATTCACTGTCAACATGGCTACTACAGTGAACAGGTTAAAACCCAAGTCAGAACATGTCCCTCTTCCCCTCAGAAACCTTCAATGGTCCCCATTTCACTTAAAGTAAAATCCAAAGCATTTACAATAGCCTTCAAAACCCCACAGTTCTCTACCACTCCCTCGCCAAGGCCAGACATTTGTTTCTCTGACTTCACGGTCTACTTTGTCCTATGTCCTTGTTCGTTTTGTTCCAATGACACTGGTATCCTTGCTGTCCTCAGGCTCATGCTTCTGCCTGAGAGCTTCTGAAGTTGCTGTGGTTCCCTGTACATGGAAACTTCTTTTCCAAAATATTCACCTGATTGTTGCCCCAATTCTTTTAGGTCTTTACTCAATTGTCATCCTCTGAGTAAAACTCCCTCCTCATTTATCCTATCAAAAATTTCCCCTATCCCATGTTCTAGCTCCCTTCTCTGCTTTATTTTTCTAATACATATAATATCTGTATATAAATAATTGAACATGTCGCATATTTTACTTACTCATCCTGTTTTTTGTCTGCTTCTCCCTCATCCCCCATTATGGGTAGAAATATTGCTGTCTAGCTCCCTAGTATATCCCCAGGACATTAGAACAGGGCTCATCCCATTGTGTAGTTGGATAAGTGAATATCCTCCCAGTTTTTTTTCTCCTTGAGCACAAACATAGCTCAGGAAGCTCACAGAGTCCAACTTGGCCAAAGAAATGTATCCTTCCTTTGTACACATAAGGCAATAGATTTATATTAAGTCCTTGAAGGCAGAGGTATTTTACTAGTTTTCACTGATATCTGGGACTTAGAATAGGACCTGGCACATTGTAGGCACTAAATAGAGTCAACCTGCTTTAAGCATTTGGAGAATTGTTTTGAACCTTCTATGAGACTATTGCACATGGCTTAAGTATCTTGGGAGTAGCTTATCAATTTTTTGAGGGTAGATTTATTAGAAATGACAGAAAGTAATTCAGGGCTAAGTTTGGTAAAGGTAGATAATCAAGAAAGGTAAAATGATTTTTGTTGAATAAACAGGACGACAATAAGGCTCATTTTCCTGTGCCATTTATAAACTAGCTTTGCTTTCACTTTTTGAGATGCTAGAATTTATCTCTTCTGTTCTATTCCCTTTTTTGTGCATGAGCATGTCACCTACTTTGCTCTGTAGTCTCATTGTAGCACAGGCTCTCATTGTAGCACAGCTCTTGGGCCTGCACCACCATTGGTTTAGTACATCTGCTATATATTTCTCTCCATTCTATGTCTTGGGGTGCTGAAATATTTATATTTTCCATTAGAGCCCCTTGAAAGAAAAAGATATCGTTTTATATATTTAGGTTCAAAACTTAATAGCAACAAGCAGGTAGACATTTAATAAAGAGTTTTACAATTTTGATTTGAAGAGTCCATATAAAGTGTATTGTGGCTTTCCTGCAGTGGGAGGGGAATAGTAGTTTTAATGACAATTGAGTTCAAGGTAAACAACTGGCAGAATCTATTTCCAAGGGAGTCTCTGTTCTAAATGTGCTCAGAGGGAAACATATTTGGAGCATTCCTTCTCAGAAACCAGCAGCCATATCTCTAGATGCCATTAGAAGTTTACACATCAACAAAATATTTTCCCTTTTCTAACCAAGAACTGATTTTTAAAAACTCATAATTGTATATATTTTATATTTGAAATTCTAAATTTCTATTTTTCTCTCATACCATTTAACCTTTTCTAATGAGTCATAATTATTGGACTCCTGGTTCCCATGCACTGCAAAGGAGCCATCTCGTCTCAGGGCTTCCTTTTGTTTGTGCTATTTCTACAACACTATTTCTTCTGTTCTTTTGTAGCTGATTTCTAGTTACCCTAACAACAGCCACACAGCTTACTCCATGGACAGCAAGTATACATATATGTCACTCAATTTTCCATTCTCTCTCATGAGTCTCCAGACTTTGTTTTTAAACATCATTTAGCACATTCCTCAAAATATAAACCCTGATATACTGATCCAGACTTTGTTTTTAAACACCATTTAGCACATTCCTCAAAATACAAATCCTGACATACTGATTGATTTGCTGACAGAATCCAGTACCTTGTGTTCTTCACTTCCATGTGAAGATTAAAATATCCAGTTTTTAAAATCTTGCTCTGTCTTGAGATGATCTTTAATAAATCCTGATCTACAGCCAGGCAGATATTTTACATTGCTTTGTAAATGTAAAAGTAGAGAAAATAATCCTCAGTTTATGAATAAATGCTCTGGCTCTGACAGAAACACCTCCGGTCACTAGAAGTCTGTGTCCAGAGACCCTCAATGATTGTAACTCCAAAGACACCAGCCACAGGCCTTACAGTTGAGCTGTTTCTCCAAGTACCACGTTTTCAGATAAACACAAATTAGTTAAAATTTCCCCAGCTAAATATATTTTAATGACAACAAAACTTTTTAAAAGAAGTTCAAGAAAGGTAACAAACTTCAAGCTTGTATTTTCTTTGATTCCTTCATATTTTCCTTTATCCCCAACTCTGGAAAAGCTTTAGTGGTACTTTGCAAATGTGAGATTTAGCCAAGTGGATGCTGGGATCAGAGGGGAAGTGACTGTCTGTTTAAATCATGCTTTCTGTGAGCCTGGCTTTGAGGCAGGAGTAGAAATGGGAGAAAGCCTAGAATGCCTTAATCTGAATTCAGCTGGATTCTACACGAAGCCTTTTTTGCAACTATAGATTTAATGCTGGAACTCCATCTTGAGAGTTTATAATAAGTCATTTGTTCATTTGATAAATGTTACCAGCTCATAGCAGGCTCTGTAACATTTTTGCTTACATTAGTAATATTCTAAGGAAAAGGAACAGAGGGAGGAATTAGTGTGTACATATTATGGCTATTTTCTAGTTTTCACTGTAAGTTGAAAAACATCTTCAAAAGTTTACCACCACTTTGTTCACAATGGAGTATCATTCTACCACAAGTTATCTATTTTCCTTTTCAGCATCCTGATGATCTCTACCGCCTTGCAATTTTCTAAGAAAGACTAAGCCGAGGCCGGGCGCGGTGGCTCACGCCTGTAATCCCAGAACTTTGGGAGGCCGAGGCAGGTGGATCATGAGGTCAGGAGATCGAGACCATCCTGGCTAACAAGGTGAAACCCTGTCTCTACTAAAAATACAAAAAATTAGCCGGGCGCGGTGGCGGGCGCCTGTAGTCCCAGCTACTCGGGAGGCTGAGGCAGGAGAATGGCGTGAACCCGGGAAGCGGAGCTTGCAGTGAGCCGAGATTGCGCCACTGCAGTCCGCAGTCCGGCCTGGGCGACAGAGTGAGACTCCGTCTCAAAAAAAAAAAAAAAAAAGAAAGACTAAGCCGAGCATGGTAGCTCATGCCCATAATCCCAGCATTTTGGGAGGCAGAGGTGGGAGAATCGCTTGAGGCCAAGAGTTCGAGATCAGTCTGGGCAACATAGCAAGATGTCATCTCTACAAAAAAAAAAAAATTTTTTTTTAATTAGCCAGGCGTGGTGGCGTGCACCTGTAGTCCAAGCTATTCAGCAGGCTGAGGCAGGAGAATCACTTGAGCCCAGGAAACTGAGGCTGCAGTGAGCCATGATTGTGCCATTGTACTCCAGCCTGAGCAACAGGGCAAGATCCTATCTCAAAAAAAAAAAAAAGATAAATTAAATTTAGCTATTGCTTTGTTGAAGTAACTAATTTTTCTGGTTATCCCATAACTTTGGATTTTATCCTGGACCTTGTAAATGTTACATTGTAGAGAATCTGAATTCTGCTATATTCTGAAGAGAATTAGTATTTTTGTTTTAATGGTGAATTAACTTGATTAGACTTAATCTATAATCTCCATTTCTCCTGTGGTGGGTCAAATCACAGTTTTCTTTTAGCCTTTGTTGCTAGCTGCTTTGCGTCTGCCTTGGATACGCATGGTTCAGAGGTGAGCCAGTGACATGGGTAGAGCTCATACATAGAATTTGAGATTCCCATTTCCTGCTCTCTTCTCTCCAGAACTCCCTCTGGTGGCCATACTTGCCCCAGGTTCCATCTCTTGGTTCCTCAGGCTAAAAATATGGCAGGCTTTCTAATGGAGTTTCAGACACTCTATACTATGCTAGGACTACAGCTCACTTTCAGATCAAAACCACAAAAAACAGAAAATTCACCTCATGTTGATCTTTTTCTCCAACTTTTTACTGCCTTACAATATCTGCCTGCTTTATTCATTTGGCAGCACCGTCAGGTAGTTTTTGGATTTTGCTCAGTGTTAACTGTAGGAGGGCCAGACTGTCAGGGGCTTACTCCACCATACCAGAAACAAAATAAGCACAGCTTTACCTTTAGAAGATAGCCAGAATCCAAGCCACCATCGTCTGTCATCTGGTCACTGTAAAGGCTTTCTTTCTTTCTTTATCTAGTTTTTTTTATTTATCCTTAAGTAAATAAGGGTGACATGGCTGCCAGTAATTTGATCCCTTGGCTCCACCTCATTAATTTAGAAATCATTTAGAGATCAAAGGATGAGAGGATGGGACAAATTAAGTCTCTTCCCTGGAAGGTAGCCCCACAGTAGGTGTACCTTCTCAGTAAGGCCTACCCTGACAATCTTATTTAGCACAGCAAATCTCCCTTATGCTTTACTTTTTCTATTCCATAACACTTATCCCTTCAAATATGATACAATTTACTTATTTCTATTTACTGTCTGTCCCTACTATGTAAGCTTCATGAGAACATGGATTTTTGTGTGTTTTATCCACTGCCATATTACTAGAGCCTATAACAGCACAAGCACATAGCAGGTGTAAAAATAAACATTTGGTGCATAAATAAATGACTTTACCAAACACTGTAACTTCTACCTCTGATCTCACTTAATTCTCCACATTCCTCTCCTCACAGAGGATTTTTTTGATATGTGAGACGCATCAGTCATTCTGCTCTACTTTGTCCTACGTATTTTTAGGCAGAGAAGAAGTCAAATTTCTTGTAAACAATGTGAAACTTTCTAAAGAACCTGATCTTTTCTTTCACTGTTGTTATCCAGACTCTGTAGGATGATACATTAAAAATTTTCCACAGCCTAACAGTTAGACTCAGAACATAATGAAGGATGGCATATACAGAACAGCAGTTTCTGATCTTATTTTCAGATGAAAAAGGCAGGTTTAACCACAGGCCAAAGTATATATCTAAAGTAAAAGTTTCACTGTGTCTATCTCTCAAAAGACTTTCACTTTAATGCTTCCGAGTAAGAGCTGATGTGTTGGGCATATATGTAGAAGCATGTCAAGACAGTCTGACCACTAGTATGAAATATATTTAGCTTTAAACCCTATTTGAATTCATTCTGTCTATATTTTCAGTTTTGAGTTATGCAACAAAATATACTGATGAAAAACTTAGCAGGGCAACAGGATTATAAAGTTTCACTTAAACATCCATTTGTTGGCCTCCTCATCCATAGGGCACAGAAATCATTAGCTTTCTTTGTGGATGTGTGAGAAAGAGAAAGAAAAAGAGAGAATACTATTAATTTCTCTAGCCCCTCGTAATTTTTAGGGAATTTAAGTATACTGACAATGACAGACCAGAGAGCAGGGTAGAAAAAGAAAGTGATGTTAACAGTTACCAGAGACAAGGTACCAGCTCCTCTCTTATTTCTGCTGGAACTCACAGAAAATCTTTGCGAAAATGTTGGTTAGTGAGCTGGAGTCTATGTCCTGGACCAAGTTAAGACAGGCTAGACTATACGATGGGGCCTAGGGTCGAAGGACCAAGACTAAATTGCAGGTCTATTAGTGGACTGCCTAAATCCTGCAGATAAGCTCTAGCTGCATTACATACATAACCTCTTTTGCAGAGGGAAACAAAATTGTTTGCTTTAATAAAAAAGTGCTCGCCCATCATTTTAAAATAAAATTTATCTCCAGGGTCCCCTAAGATTTTCACAGAGGCAGATTATCTCATTTGGGTAGAATGCTTGACTCTCAGGGAGAGCCCTCTATTTCAATTATAGAAGCAACTGATTTTCAAGAAAAAGTTTAGTTTATGCAAGGTATCCTGAATGCTGAAAAAACTCCAAGAGAGTAAGAATGGGACTTTGGGCCAGGCACAGTGGCTCACACCTGTAATCCCAACATTTTGGGAGGCCAAGGCAGGCAGATCACGAGGTCAGGAGTTCAAGATTAGCCTGGCAAACATGGTGAAACCCCATTTCTAATAAAAATACAAAAATTAGATGGGCATGGTGGTGGGCACCTGTAATCCCAGCTGCTCGGGAGGCTGAGGCAGGAGAACAGCTTGAAACCGGAAGGCGGATGTTACAGTGAGCTGAGATCGCATCACTGCACTCCAGTCTGGGCAAAAGAGCAAAACTCCGATCGGTGGCTGGCAAGATGGTCAAATAGGAACAGATCTGGTCTGCAGCTCCCAGCGAGATCAACGCAGAAGGCAGATGATTTCTGCATTTCCAATTGAGGTACCCAGCTCATCTCATTGGGGCTGGTTAGACAGTGGGTATAGCCCATGGAGGGTGAGCTGAAGCAGGGTTGGGCATTGGCTCACCAGGGAAGCACAAGGAGTCAGGGAACTCCCTCCCCTAGCCAAGGAAAGCCGTGAGGGACTGTGCCATGAGGGACAGTGCACTCTGGCCCAGATACTACGCTTTCCCCACGGTCTTCGCAACTCATAGACCAGGAGATTCCCTCAGGTGCCTACGCCACCAGGGCCCTGGATTTCAAGCACAAAACTAGGCGGCCGTTTGGGCAGACACCAAGCTAGCTGCAGGAGTTTTATTTTCATACCCCAGTGGCGCCTGGAGCGCCAGTGAGGTGAGACAGAACCGTTCACTCTCCTGGAAAGGGGACTGAAGCCAGGGAGCCAAGTGGTCTAGCTCAGCAGATCCCACCCCCATGGAGCCCTGGAAGCTAAGATTCACAGACTTGAAATTCTCGCTACCAGCAGAGCACTCTGAATTCAACCTGGGATGCTGGAGCTTGGTAAGGGGAGGGCCAGCCACCATTACTGAGGCTTGAGTAGACAGTTTTCCTGTCACAATGTAAACAAAGCCACCTGGAAGTTCGAACTGGGTGGAGCCCACTGCGCTCCTCAAAGCCTCTGTAGCCAGACTGCCTCTCTAGATTCCTCCACTCTGGGAAGGGCATCTATGAAAGAAACTCAGCAACCCCAGTCAGGGCCTTACAGAACAAACTCCCATCTCCCTGGGACAGAGCACCTGGGGGAAGGGGTGGCTGTGGGCACAGCTTCAGCAGACTTAAATGCTCCTGCCTGTGAATCTGAAGACAGCAACGGATCTCCCAACACAGCGCTTGAGCTCTGCTGAGGGACAGACTGTCTCCTCAAGTGGGTCCCTGATCCCTGTGCCTCCTGACTGGGAGACACCTCCCAGCAGGGGTCGACAGACACCTCATACAGGAGAGCTCTGGCTGGCATCTGGTGGGTGCCCCTCTGGGACGAAGCTTCCAGAGGAAGGAACATTGCTGTTCTGCAGCTTCCGCTGGTGATACCCAGGCAAACAGGGTCTAGAAAGGACCTCCTGCAAACTCCAGCAGACCTGGAAAGCTAACAAACAGAAAGAAATAGCATCAACGTCAACAAAAAGGATGTCCACACAGAAACCCTATCCGGAGGTCACCAACATCAAAGATCAAAGGTAGATAAATCCACGAAGATGAGGAAAACCCAGTGCAAAAAGGCTGAAAATTCCAAAAACCGGAACGCCTCTTCTCCAAAGGATCACAACTCCTCACCAGCAAGGCAACAAAACTGGATAGAGAATGAGTTTGGTGAATTGACAGAAGTAGGCTTCAGAAGGTGGGTAATAACAAACTCCTCCAAGCTAAAGGAGCATGTTCTAACCCAATGCAAGGAAGCTAAGAACCTTGAAAAAGATTAGAGGAATTGCTAACTACAATAACCAGTTTAGAGAAGAACATAAATGACCTGATGGGGCAGAAAAACACAGCACAGCTTCACTTCGTGAAGCATACACAAGTATCAATAGCCGAATTGATCAAGTGGAAGAAAGGATATCAGAGACTGAAGATCAACTTAATGAAATAAAGTGTGAAGAAAAGATTAGAGAAAAAAAAAAGAAAAGAAAAGGAATGAACAAAAGCCTCCAAGAAATATGGGACTATGTGAAAAAACCAAACCTATGTTTGATTGGTGTACCTGAAAGTGACGGGGAGAATGGAACCAAGTTGGAAAACACTCTTCAGGATATTATGCAGGAGAACTTCCCCAACCTAGTAAGAAAGGCCAACATTCAAATTCAGGAAATATAGAGAACACCACAAAGATACTCCTTGAGAAGAGCAACCCCAAGACACAAGAGCAACCCCAAGACACATAATCGTCAGATTCACCAAGGTTGAGATGAAGAAAAAAATGTTAAAGGCAACCAGAGGAAAAGGTCGGGTTACCCACAAAGGGAAGCCCATCAGACTAACAGTGGATCTCTCTGCAGAAGCTTTACAAGCCAGAGAGCGTGGGGGCCAATAGTCAACATTCTTTTTTTTTTTTTTTTGCCAGAGAGCATGGGGGCCAATAGTCAACATTCTTTTTTTTTTTTTTTTTTTTTTTTTGCTAACCTTATTTATGTCACTTAAGGATTGACATTTGAAAAGAATGAGAGAATGAAGGGTGTTAGTTTAATGAGCATGAAATGTTTTATATGCTGTTATAAGAATTGAGAGAGCTTTTGAGTATTACCTTTCTCCACTAAAAGTTGGGTAAGATGGGGTGAAAAGCTTTAAAACAAATAACAGGTAAAATTAGATAAAGTAATCTGTATAACCAGAAGATAAAGATCAAATGTAAATGTTAAAAGGGCTGCATTTTGCACTAGACAATGCAAATTCCACCATCAAGTTGGTATTAAGAAACTGGGAGATTCTGGATTCTGGTGTTGTCAGTTCCAGGCTTTTTTAATACCCCAAGGAGGGCTGTGGTTGAAGCTCTAGTCAACATTCTTAAAGAATTTTCAACCCAGAATTTTATATCCAGCCACACTAAGCTTCATAAGCAAAAGAGAAATAAAATCCTTTACAGACAAGCAATTGCTGAGAGATTTTGTCACCACCAAGCCTGCCTTACAAGGGCTCCTGAAGGAAGCACTAAATATGGAAAGGAAAAACCAGTATCAGCCACTGCAAAAACATACCAAATTGTAAAGACCATCCACACTATGAAGAAACTGTATCAACGAATGGGCAAAATAACCAGCTAGCATCATAATGACAGGATCAAATTCACACATAACAATGTTAACCTTAAATGTAAACAGGCTAAATGATCCAATTAAAAGACACAGACTGGTAAATTGGATAAAGAGTCAAGACCCAGCAGGAGACCATTCTCACATGCAAAGACACACATAGGCTCAAAAGAAAGGTATGGAGCAATATTTACCAAGCAAATAGAAAGTAAAAAAAAAAAAAAGCAGGAGTTGAAATCCTAGTCTCTTATAAAACAGACTTTAAGCCAACAAAGATCAAAAAAGACAAAGAAGGGCATTACATAATGGTAAAGGGATCAATACAACAAGAAGAGCTAACTATCCTAAATATATATGCACCCAATACAGGAGCACCCAGATTCATAAAGCAAGTTCTTAGAGACCTACAAAGAGACTTAGACTCCCACACAATAATAGTGGGAGATATCTAAAATCTATGCCCTAACATCACAATTAAAAGAACTAGTAAAGCAAGACCAAGCAAATTCAAAACCAAGCAGAAGACAAGAAATAACTAAGATCAGGACAGAATTGAAGGAGATAGAGACACAAAAAACTCTTCAAAAAAATCAATGAATCCAGGAGTTCATTTTTTTGTAAAGATCAACAAAATAGACCTCTAGCCAGACTAATAAAGAAGAAAAGAGAAAAGTGAAATAGACACAATAAAAAATGATAAAGGGGATATCACCACTTATTGCACAAAAATACAAACTACCATCAGAGAATACTATAAATATCTCTACACAAATAAACTAGGAAAATATAGAAAAAATGGATAAATTCCTGGACACACACCTCCCAAGACTAAACCCAGAAGAAGTCGAATCCCTAAACAGACCAACAACAAGTTCTGAAATGGAGGCAGTAATTAGTAGCCTACCAACCAAAATAAGCCCAGGACCAGAGAGATTCACAGCCGAATTCTACCACAGACACAAAGAGGAGCTGGTACCATTCCTTTTGAAACTATTCCAATAAACAGAAAAAGAGGGAATCATCCCTAAGTCATTTTATGAGGCCAGCATCATCCTGATACCAAAACCTGGCAGAGACACAACAAAAAAAGAAAATTTCGGGCCAATATCCCTGATGAACATCGATGCAAAAATCTTCAATAAAATACTGGCAAAACCAACTCCAGCAGCATATCAAAAAGCTTATCCACCATGATCAAGTTGGCTTCATCCCTGGGAGGCAAGGCTGGTTCAACATATGCATATCAATAAACGTAATCCATCACATAAACAGAACCAATGACAAAAACCACATGTTTATCTCAATAGATGCAGAAAAGGCCTTCGATAAAATTAAACACTGCTTCATGCTAAAAACTCTGAACAAACTAGGTATTGATGTAACATATCTCAAAATAGTAAGAGCTATTTATGACAAACCCAGAGCCAGTATCATACTGAATGGGCAAAAGCTGGAAGCATTCCCTTTGAAAACTGGCACAAGACAAGGATGCCCTCTCACCACTCCTATTCAACATAGTATTAGAAGTTCTGGCCAGGGCAATCAGGCAAGAGAAAGAAATAAAGGAAAGAGAGGAAGTCAAATTGTCTCTGTTTGCAGATGACATGATTGTAAATTTAGAAAACCCCATCGTCTCAGCCCAAAATCTCCTTAAGCTGATAAGTAACTTCAGCAAAGTCTCAGGATACAAAATCAATGTGCAAACATCACAAGCATTCCTATACACCAATAATAGATGAGCAGAGAGCAAAATCACGAGTGAACTCCAATTCACAATTGCTACAAAGACAATAAAATACCTAGGAATACAACTTACAAGGGATGTGAAGGACCTCTGCATGGAGAACTACAAACCACTGCTCAAGGAAATCAGAGAGGACACAAACAAATGGAAAAACATTCCATTTGCTCATGGATGGGAAGAATCAATATAATGAAAATGGCCATACTGCCTGAAGTAATTTATAGATTCAATGCTATCCCCATCAAGCTACTACTGACTTTCTTCACAGAATTAGAAAAAACTACTTTAAATTTCATATGGAACCAAAAAAGAGCCTGCATAGCCAAGACAATCCTAAGCAAAAAGAACCAAGCCAGAGGCATCATGCTCTCTGACTTCAAACTATACTACAAGGCTACGGTAACCAAAACATCGTGTTACTGGTACCAAAACGGATATATAGGCCAATGGAACAGAAGAGAGGCCTCAGAAATAACACCACACATCTACAACCATTTGATCTTTGACAAACTTAACACAAACAAGCAATGGGGAAATGATTCCCTATTTAATAAATGGTGTCGGGAAAACTGGCTAGCCATATGCAGAAAACTGCAACGGAACCCGTTCCTTACACCTTATACAAAAATTAACTCAAGATGGATTAAATTGCTGCCTGTTCTTTCGTCTGGAAGCTTCGTCCCAGAGGGGCAACTGCCAGATGCCAGCCAGAGCTCTCTTGTATAAGGTGTCTGTAGGCCCTTACTGGGAGGTGTCTCCCAGTCAGGATATATGGGGGTCAGGGACCCACTTGAGGAGGCAGTCTGACCCTTAGCAGAGCTCAAACGCTGTGCTAGGAGGTCCGCTGCTCTCTTCAGAGCCATCAGGCAGGGAAACTAAAGTCTGCTGAAGCTGCGCCCACAGCTGCTCCTTCCCCCAGGTGCTCTGTCCCAGGGAGATGGGGGTTTTATCTATAAGTCCCTGACTGGGGCTGCTGCCTTTTTTTCAGAGATGCCCTGCCCAGAGAGGAGAAATCTGGCAGTCTGGCCACAGCAGCCTTACTGAGCTGCAGTGGGCTCCGCCCAGTTCAAACTTCCCAGCGGCTTTGTTTACACCGTGAGCATAAAACCACCTACTCAAGCCTCAGTAATGGCAGATGTCCCTCCCCCAACCAAGCTCGAGCATCCCAGGTCGATCTCAGTCTGCTGCTGTGCTGGCAGTGAGAATTTCAAGCCAGTGAATCTTTTAGTTTGCTGGGCTCCATGGGGGTGGGACCTGCCAAACCAGACCACTTGGCTTCCTGGCTTCAGCACCCCTTTCCAGAGGAGTGAACAGTTCTGTATCACTGGCGTTCCAGGTGCCAATGGGTTATGGAGAAAAACAAACTCCTGCAGCTAGTTTGGTGCCTGCTCAAACAGCTACCCAGTTTTGTGCTTGAAACCCAGGTCTCTGATGTGTTAGGCACCAGAGGGAATCTCCTGGTCTGCGGGTTGCAAAGACCATGGGACAAGCGCACTATCTGGGCCAGAGTGCACAGTTCGTCAGGCTCAGTACCTCATGGCTCCCCTTGGGTAGGGGAGAAAATTCCCCAACCCCTTGCACTTCCCAGGTGAGGCAATGCGCCACCCTGCTTCGGCTTGCCCTCCATGGGCTGCACCCACTGTCCAACCAGTCCCAGTGAGATGAACCGGGTACCTCGGCTGAAATGCAGAAATCACCCGCCTTCTGCATCAATCTTGCTGGGAGCTGCAGACCAGAGCTGTTCCTATTCAGCCATCTTGCCAACAATCCATCTTTTTTTTTTTTTTTTTTTTGAGACCAAGTCTCACACTGTCAGCTGGGCTATAGTGCAGTGGCACCATCCCGGCTCAGTGCAACCTCCGCCTCCCAGGTTGAAGCGATTTTCCTGCCTCAGCCTCCTGAATAGCTGGGCTTACAGGAGCCCGCCACCACGCCCAGCTAATTTTTTGTATTTTTGGTAGAGATGGGGTTTCACTATGTTGGTCAGGCTGGTCTCAAACTCCTGACTTCGTGATTCGCCCTCCTCGGCCTCCCAAAGTGGTGGCATTACAGTCGTGAGCCATTGCTCCTGGGCCACAATAATGGAATAGTTTTATCTGTTTCATATATTGGACTTTTTCATAAAATGTAGCTTGAAGAAAGGATTTTTACACACACATACACACTCTCACACACACAAATAAAGTTTACAAACATCTGGATAGTAGGAAAAGAAGAGCAGCCAGAATCTATATCCACACAGCCCTGGCCTGTAGTCTTGCCTACATGCAACAGTTTTAGCTTTCATCAATACCACTACTACCTTCTCTACAATAACTTTCCCAAGGGCACATACTAGGAGCCATTGGTGATAAGGAAAATTCACATGTCCTGATCAATGGGTGCATCATTTTATTCCTATGCCAAAGTAAAGCATAGTGTATTAATATTTTTGTCAAGATCAGAGGCACTGTGGGGCATATAAATTAACTGTTTTTCTTTTGCATTCTGTTATAACTTCCATTTCTAATTTTCCCACATATAATATATAATTGGAAAAGTGAAAAATCTGCTTTCGAATTTTAAGTACTAAAGCAAGTAAAAGCCATAAAGCACTCCTAACACAAGAAGTTCCCAAGCAATATAAAAGAAACTCAGAAGATGCTCTCCTTTCATGGGCTGCCCAGACAAGACACCATCAGCCCCCTTTTTCTTCAAACCCTCTCTTCCACATGCAGCAAGCCAAGGCCCAGGGCTTCCTGCACTCTGGAGCTGTGTGTCTCTGCTGCATTTGTTTGGTTCTATGTTTCTCCTATGCCTTTTTTGTGGTATTAAATAGATGCATCCTTTTCTCTCTGTGAGGTGGTGATAGCCAAGACTCGATTTTGAGCTTCTATGTGGAAAAAGTCATAAAAAAGGCAGCCACCCATGGTATGGTTTACGTGACTTAAGGGCACACAGGGAATTGGGGCCAAAACTCCTAGCTAATGAGATGAGGTTACTTTATCTTGTTTTGCCTCTTCTGTGCATCTGTCTTCTCTGATGGCCAGAGATGCCTATGACCCATACCATCCTAACATAGAACCTCACCAGAATTTCCAGTGACTCTCACCTGATCTGCTTGCCTTCCCTCATGTCATATAAGGAAAAGAAGACATCGGTATCTTCCCCAATAGTATTGTAAGTGAAACTCTTCAGGCTGAGGAAGAAGTGATGTGGCACTGGCATCCGACATGTTTCCCCATGACGTGGGCGCATTGTATCTACCTAATGAGGAAGAAAAAAACCCAGTGATTTTTATTTTAGTTATTTTTTATATTGATCATTAAAAAGTGGAAACTAAATTACAAACTCTTTTCACACTACTGAAGGAGATTATTTGAGAAACTGAAGATGTTTTCTCTGCTTGTAGGGGATGCTGCATCAACAGACTTGGGTTGAGGTGGGCAAGCAAGCAGCTGGGAGGAGTAAACAGTGAAGAAATATAGGGACAGTAATTCCAACTTACAAGTGAACTAAAAATCTCCACCAGGTGACAAATATCTTAGTTCTCCAGGAAACCATTTTCTTTTTCCTTTTTTTTTTTTTTTTTTTTTTTGAGACAGAGTCTCACTCTGTCACCCAGACTGGAGTGCAGTAGCATGATCTCGGCTCACTGCACTCTACTCCCGGGTTCAAGCAATTCTCCTCCCTCAGCCTCCTGAGTAGCTGGGATTACAGGCACCCACCATCATGCCCAGCTAATTTTTTTATTTTTAGTAGGTTTCACCATGTTGACCAGGCTGGTCTCAAACTCCTGACTTCAGGTGATCCACCTGCCTTGGCCTCCCAATGTGCTGGGATTACAGGCATGAGCCACCACGCCCAGCCCGGAAAACCATTTTCAAACTCATTTTAAAGAAATGCCATTATGACCCCAATGCGCTTGATTTACACTGTTACCTCGTAATAGTTACCATTCTAAATAACATTTTTATTTTCTCCCAGACTGATTCATTTTAGTTTCAGTCTGCTTTAATTGTGCTTATGCAAATCTGCACAGTAGAAGTAGAGTCTGGCCAAAACTGTTTAGAGGTCAAAGCTCCTCAGATAAAGACACCACACAGTCAAGAAGTCAGTGGTGTCTGTCATTTCCTGGTGTATTCATATGTTGTAATCTCTTAACAGAAAAAGTTGAGGGGAAAGGCTGGAAGACCCAGGAAAGCCGCTTACCTGGGATGTGCTTTGCTGTACACTCTGCCGGCTAGATAAATGCTATGGAAAGAAGGAAAGAAAAATAAACTCTACCGGGAAAGAAACTAAATTTTATTAAGAACTTTCTATATGCTGGGCAGTCTGCTATGCCTTTTATATTCATGATCTCATTTAATTCTGATAACTTTGTAAAATAAGTGTTATTCGTATTTGGTGGAGACAACTAAGGCTTAGAGTATGGACGTAATTTGCTGAAGGTCACATAGCAAGAAAGTGGCAAAATCCAGATTCAAACCTGAGCCCTTCCAGATCTGACTAACAGACAAGTCACAAGTCGGTGCCTGGTACTAAATTTTTGCTTTGCCACTGTCCTCTCCATATACTGTACCACTTTCTGAGCTGCCTGATCCAGCTTCTTCAGACTTTCCACAATGATGCCTTTAACAATAAAGGGCTCCCTCCCAAACACTTCCCCATGCTGTTCCTTTACTGCTGGCTGGCTGAAATGAGAAGAAGCAGATTCTAATTCAAGCTTTGCCACTCAAAGACTGTGAAATTTCAGACAAATCACTTAATCTCTCCAGGAGACATTTTCCTGAACATAAAATTCAGATAAGAGCCTGTATTATCTTCCTTACAAAGTTATTGTGAAGCTCAAATTACATGAGCATCACTATGATATAGAAGTTAGGGACCTAAGTGCAGAAGTGAGAATCCTAGGTTTTCAATTTTTTAAAAATGTTTAAATTGATACATAATATTTTAAAATATTTATGAAGTACATGTGATATTTTGATACATGCATACAATGTATAATTATCAAATCAGGGTATTTAGAATATTCATTGCCTCAAACATTTATCATTTCTTTCTGTTGGGAACATTTCAAATCTTCTCTTCTAGCTACTTTGAAATGTAGAATAAATTACTGTTAACTACACTCACCCCACTGTGCTATCAAACACGAGAACTTATTCCTTCTAACTAGATGTTTGTATTTGCTGAGCAACCTCTCTTCAACCCCACCACCCCACGATTCTCAACCTTTGGTAACCACTTTTTTATTCCCTATCTCCAAGAGATGCACATTTTTTTGTTTTTGTTTTTGTTTTTTAGCCCCTACATATGATAGAACATGAGATATTTGTCTTTCTGTGCCCGGCTTATTTCATTTAACATATTGACCTCTAGTTCCATCCATGCTGCTACAAATGACAGTATTTCATTCTTTTTATGGCAGAATAGTATTCCATTGTGCATATATGCCACATTTTCTTCATCCTTTCATCTGTTAACAAACACTTAGATTAATTCTATATCTTGGCTATTGTGAACAGTGCTGCAATAAACACAAGGGTGCTGGTGTCTCATTTATATACTGATTTTTCTTTCTTTTTGATAAATATCCAGTAGTAGGACTGCTGGATCAAATGGTGGTTCTGTTTTGTTTTTTGGGAAGTCTCATACTGTTTTCCATAGTGGCTGTACTAATTTACATTCCCACCAACAGTGTATAAGAGTTCTAAGTATATCAGTATATCAGTTCTAAGAGATTTTTAGTAGTCTTTAGGTTTTTCTATATATAAGATTATATCATCTACAAAGAGGAACAATTTGACTTCTACCTTTCCAATTTAAATGCCTTTTATTTCTTTCTCTTGCTTGATTGCTCTGGCTAGGACTTCAAGTACTATGTTGAATAGGAGAATTAAAAGTGGGTATCTTTGTCTTGTTCCAGTCTTAGAGGAAAGTATTTCAGCTTTTCCTCATTCAGTATGATGTCAGCTGTGGATGTGTCATATACAGCTTTTATGCTGAGGTATTTTCCTTCCATGTCTAACTTGTTGAGAGTTTTTAACAGGAAAAGATGTTAAATTTTATCAAATGCTTTTTCTGTGACTATTGAGATGATCATATTGTTTTTGTCCTTCATTCTGTCAATGTGATGTATCACACTGATTGATTTGCACATGTTGAACCACGCTTGCATCACTGGGATAAATTCCATTTGATTATGGTTTATAATCTTTTTGACATGTTGTTGGATTCAATTTGCTAGTATTTTGCTGAGGATTTTTGTGTCTGTATTTATTGTGTTCATCAAGGATACTGGCCCATCTTTTTTTTCTTGTGTCCTTGTCTGACTTACTATCAGTGTAATGTGTAACGCTGGTCTCATAGAATGAGTTAGGATGAATTCTCTCTGCCTCAATTTTTTGGAACAGTTTGAAAAGAGCTTGTGTTAGTTCTTCCTTATAAGTTTGGTAGAATTCAGCAGTAGAGCCATACAGTTCTGGGGTTTTCTTTGCTGAATGACTTTTTATTACTGATTTGATCTCTTTTCTTGTTACTGGTCTATTCAAGCATTTCATTTCTTCATGATTCAATCTTGGTAGATTGTGTGTGTCCAGGAATTAATCCATTTCCTCTAGGTTTTCCAATATGTTTGCATATAATTGTTCATAGTAGTCTCTAATGATTCCTTGTTTTGTTTTGTTTTGTTTTTGGGATGAGTCTCACTCTGTCGCCCAGGCTGGAGTGCAGTGGCAGAATCTTGGCTCACTGCAACCTCCACCTCCTGGGTTCAGGTGATTCTCCTGCCTCAGCCTCCTGAGTAGCTGGGATTACAGATATGTGCCACCATGATCAGCTAATTTTTGTATTTTTAGTAGACATGGGGTTTTGCCATGTTGGCCAGTCTGGTCTTGAACTCCTGACCTCAGGTGATCCACCTGCCTTGGCCTCCCAAAGTGCTGGGACTCCAGGAGTGAGCCACCATGCTGGCTGATCCTGTGTACTTCTGTGGCATCAGCCACAATGTATCCTTTTTTGTTTCTGACTTTATTTTGGACTGCTGGGAACACCCTAAAATCTGGCCATAAACTGGCCCCAAAACTGGCCATAAACAAAATCTGTGCAGCACTGCGACATGTTCATGATGGCCATGATGCCCACACTGGAAGGTTGTGGGTTTACTAGAATGAGGGCAAGGAACACCTGGCCCATCCAGGGTGGAAAACCACTTAAAGGCGTTCTTATATCACAAACAATAGCATGAGCGATCTGTGCCTTAAGGACATGCTCCTGCTGCAGATAACTAGCCAAACCCATCCCTTTATTTTGGCCCATCCCTTTGTTTCCCATAAGGAATACTTTTAGTTAATCTATAATCTATAGAAACAATGCTTATCACTGGCTTGCTGTTAAGAAATACATGGGTAAATCTCTGTTTGAGGCTCTCAGCTCTGAAGGCTGTGAGACTCCTGATTTCCCACTCCACACCTCTATATTTCTGTGTGTGTGTCTTTAATTCCTCTAGTGTCACTGGGTTAGGGTATCCCTGACTGAACCGGTCTCAGCATGGACCTTCTTTTTTCTCGATTAGTCTAGTGGTTTATCGATTTTATCTTTTCAGAAAACCAACTTTTTGTTTCGCTGATCCTTTGTATTGTTTTTTTCAGCTCTATTTTGTTTAGTTCTGCTCTGATCTTTATTACTTATTTCTACTAACTTTAGGTTTAGTTTGTTTTTCCTTTTTTGGGGTCCTTAAGGCACACCATTAGGTTGTTTATTTGAAATCTTTCCAATTTTTATGTAGGTATTTATTACTGTAAACTTCCCTCTTAGTACTGCTTTTGCCATATCTCACAGAATTTGGATATGTTGTGTTTCCATTTTCACTTGTTTCAAGCAAGTTTTTAATTTCCTTTTTAATTTGTTCATTCACTCATTGCTTATTCAGGAGCATGCTGTTTAATTTCCATGTGTTTATACAGTTTACAAAGTTCCTCTTTTTATTGATTTCTAGTTTTATTTCCCTGTGGTCTGAGAAGATACTTGACATGATTTTGATTTTTCAAAATTTGTTGAGACTTGTTTGTGGCCTAATATGTGCTGTATCCTGGAGTATGTTCCATGTGCTGATGAGAAAAATATGTGCTCTATACTGTTGAATGAAATATTTTGTAATGTCTGTTAAGTACATTTGTTCTATAGAACAGAGTAAGCCTGATGTTTGTTGACTTTCTGTCTGGATAATCTGTCCAGTGCTGAAAGTGTAATGCTGAAGTCCCCAACTATTAATGCATTGGGGTCTGTTGAACTCTTTTGCTCTGATAGTATTTGCTTATATATCTGGGTGCTGTGGTATTGGATGCACATATATTTACAACTGTTATATCCTCTTGCTGAATTGATCCCTTTATCATTACATAATGACCTTATCTATTTTTATGTTTTTTGATGTAAAGTCCATTTTCTCTGATATAAGTATAGCTATTATTGCATGCTTTAGGTTTCTATTTGCATGGAATTTTTTTTCCATCCCTTCACTTTCAGTCTATGTGTGTCGTTATAGGTAAACTGAGTTTTTTGTAGAGAACATATAGTTGGGTCTTGATTTTTAAAATCAATTCAGGCAGTCTATATTTTTTAATTGGAGAATTTAAACAGTTCATATTCAAGGTTGTTAGTAACAGGTAAGGACTCACTCCTGTTGTTTTGTTAATTATTTTGTGATTGTTTAATACATTCTTCATTTCTTTCTTCCTTGTTTCTTGTTTGCCTTTAAGATTTGGTGGTTTTTTTATGATGGTAATGTTTAACTCCTTTCTCATTTGTATATGTATGCTACCAGTAAGCTTTATACTTTTGTGTGTTTTCATGATGGTAGACATTGTCCTTTCGCTTCCAGATACAGAAATCCCTGAAACATTTCTTGTAGGACTGGTCCAGTGGTGATGAATTCCCTCAGTTTTTGCTTGTCTAGAAAGATTTTATGTAACCTCCATTTAAGGATAGCTTTGTTGGGTATAGTATTCTTGGCTGACAATTCCCCTCATGCCCCCACCAATCCCTCACCCCAGAACTTTGAATCTGTCATCCCATTCTCTCCTGGTCTAGAAGGTTTCTGCTGAGAAATGTGCTATTAGTCTGGTGGAGATTCCCTTATATGTGACATGATGCTTTTAACTGTTTTTAGAATTATTTGTCTTTGATTTTTAATAGTTTGATTATATATATATACCTTTAAAATCTTATTAGATTACATCTATTTGGGGATATTTGAGCTTTCTGTATTTGGATGTCTTTATCTCTTGCAAGACTTGTGAAGTTTTCAGCTATTATCTCATTAGCAGGTTTTCTATATCTTTGCCCATGCCTTCTCCTTGTGAAACTGCCAAAATTTGAATATTTATTTGCTTCTGGTACCCTGTATGTCACATAAGCTTTCTTTACTCTTTTTTCTTTTCATCTGATTGATGTCAAAAAACCTGTCTTCAGATTCAGAAACTCTTTTATTTATTTATTTATTTATTTGAGATGGAGTCTCGCTCTGTCGCCCAGGCTGGAGTACAGTGGTGTGATCTTGGCTCACTGCAACCTTCGCCTCCTGGGTTCAAGTGATTCTCCTGCCTCAGTCTCCCAAGTAGCTGGGCCTACAGGTGCACATCACCATGCCTGGTTAATTTTTTCTATTTTTAGTAGAGACAAGGTTTCACCATGTTGGTCAGGCTGGTCTCGAACTCTTGGCCTCAGGTGATCCACCTGCCTTGGCCTCCTAAAGTGCTGGGATTATAGTCATGAGCCACTGCGCTTGGCCAGAAAGTCTTTCTTTTGCTTGATTTCATCTATTGTTGAAGCTCTTGACTGTATTTTTTCTTTCATTCACTAAAGCTTCAGTTCCAGGATTTCTGTTTGGTTCCTTTCTATGATGCATATCTCTTTGTTAAACTTCAACTCATGAATTGCTTTTCTGATTTTTTATTGTTTATCTGTGTTCTCTTGTATCTCACTGAGCTTCTTTAATCTTATTTTGAATTATTTTTCAGGGATTTCATTCATTTTCTTTTCTATGGGATCTGTTACTAGAGAATTATTGTCTTTGTTTGGAAGTGTCATGTATCTTTGCTTTTTTATGTTTCTTGTGTCCTTACATTGATATGTGGGCATCCAGTGTAACAGCTGCTTGTTCTAATTTTATAGATTGGTTTACATAGGGAAAGACTTTTTCCTATAGATGTATATTTAGTGTTAGGTAGGGTGCTTTGGATTTGATTCTAGGTGAGTGCAGTAGCAGACTCTCCATATGATTTCTTCAGCTATAATCAGTGTCAGTGGTGTCTGTGAGTTCTGCAGTGACTTAGACTGTGGTTGTTAGTAGATGCTGTGGTGAGGCTTAGCTAGGAACAAGAAGATCAGATGGGCTGGTCCTTAGGTCCCCAGGTGGTATATGTGGGACCCCATGGTGGAAGGTCAGTCCTTGGGCCTCCAGGCAGCATGCTTGGGTGCTAGTGATAATGATCAAGTGGGTACTCAGGCCCCGTGGTGGTACACATGGCACTGGCAATGGCAGTAGCAGTGGTGTGCCACCTCTCAGGTCCCTTAGTACACAGGCAACAGCTAGGGCAGTTTCACCAGGCTGATCACCCTGGATGGCACATGGGGACAACAGCTGTGGGCCTACCCACAGACCTATCCTATAGGTCTGTCCTCTGGCCCCCAGGTGGTAAACACAGGTGCTGGTGGCAGGAGGAATGCTAGTCAATACCCAGGTCCTGGAAGGTATGTGTGGGTACTGGTGGTGACAGGTGAGTTCCTTGGACTATGCACTTATGTGCCCATGGCAGTGTATGGGGCAGATTGGTCCTCAGGTCCCGGGACAATGCACACAGGTGAACCAGTCCCCCAGGCCTCTTGAATGTGTTGAATGTGTGCAGGTATGCAGTGGCTCTGCCACTGGAGGGAGCAGGGTTGCTATCAGTGGCAGTAGCCCCAGACATGCAGCTCTCAGGTTCTAGGGAGCACAAGTTTTAGCTTTCTTTGTCATGGGGGCAGTCTCCTAGGTGCACTGCACCACCCATTCCCCAGGGTATAAGTCACTGTGTGGGCTAAAGCGCTGGAGACCCAGGAACAATGCTGGGTCCAGTATGTATTGTGATGCTGCAGCCCTCTGAATGGACATAGGGGGATGTCAGCAGGGCTCCAGGGGTGTGGAGATTCGGGTGTGTTGGACCCAAGGGTAGAAAAACGCAGTCTGGTGGGAGCTAGGCTCTCAAAATGACACTGTGCTGTGGTGTCTCTGTGGTACCTCTGTGGAATCTCAGAGGTAGTGTGAGGCCCGGCCCAAACTCTCTCTCTGGAACAATGCCTTTTCTCCACAATGGGGAGTTCCTTCTAGCTCCAAGCTTATCCTGGGTGGGCTGGCTGCTTTGCTTCCCTCTCCTTCCATGACTCTGAAGTTTCTTGTCACTTCCCTGATGAACTCCAGTATTCTGTCTTAGATGCTCTATTCAATATGTAGTTAATTACTCACTGAGTAGAAGGCAAGTGCCAGGTGCCTCTACTCAGCCATCTTGATACCACCCCCTGCAACCCTCCAGTTTCGAATTTTTTTTTTTTTTTTTTGAGACAGAGTCTTGCTCTGTCGCCCAGGCTAGATTCCAGTGGCGCGATCTAGGCTCACTGCAAGCTCCACCACCCAGGTTCACGCCATTCTCCTGCCTCAGCCTCCCGAGTAGCTGGGACTACAGGTGCCCGCCACCACGCCCAGCTAATTTTTTTGTATTTTTAGTACAGATGGGGTTTCACCGTGTTAGCCAGGATGGTCTCAATCTCCTGACCTCGTGATCTGTCTGCCTTGGCCTCCCAAAGTGCTGGGATTACAGGCGTGAGCCACCATGACCGGCCTAGTTTTGAATCTTGACTCACACTTATATCTGTGTATTCATCATCTGAAAAGTGACTATAAAATTTTATGCCTAACTCAACCTCACAGAGTTTGAGCAGACTGACTCAGCATATTACCTATCATACTGTAAGTGGCTGATAATTATTATTCAAAATTGGTATTTTTATTATTAGTATAATTGTTATTTTTTATAATTAGTTATTATAGAAAGTCATTCACATTTAGAAGTAAACCCTGGCCAGGAATAATGGTGAATTTACAAATGTTCAGTGCGTGGTGTTGGTAAACGAAACAATGAGAGATTTCATCCTGCTTCCTTTTGGACCCTAGAGGTATGGTACCACACTCATTTGTTGAATTGCTCCATATCACATGGGTAAGAAGAATGGTTGTGGCAGTGGAAGTTTCCATTTCTTTTCCAAACACATATATTTAACCCTATATAAAAGAGAAGTACAATTAAATATTAATTTAAATGTGTCTGACCAGCTATATTTGCTTATTACTAAATATCCATGTGCATATTAGCAATATTAACTAATCATTATTGAGTATTAATGTTCATTCATGGAAATATATGTCCCCATGATATATATGAAATATAAAAATCAAGTCTCCACCAGCTGGGCAAAACATCATATAGAATGTATATGCACAAAAGAAAAATTCACATATAAAACAGGTTTCAAAAAAGTAAAAAAAAAAAAAAATTCAAGCATTCAAAAACAAATCAGGTTTTCTGTGGTTTACTGACCATATCTCACTGGAAGGTTACTAGACTAAAATAAATTCCGTTGTTTTATTTTATATCCAGGAGCTACACTAAGCCATTTTTCTCAAGTAGATTTACTGTTAACCAATTAAAAGGACTACTAATCTTGGTAGTCATAAATTTTCAATTAGAACTATATACAGAAGGATTTTATGAAGCAGCTAATTTCAGTATGAAACATCCCTGTTGACAATAATAAGTAATTTTTTTATTTCAGTCATTAAATTTTGAGAGAATGATTTAGTCTGAAAGCATACCACATGGGCAGCCAGAGAAAGGCATCAGAACTGGCATTCTGGAACCTCTTTCAGGGCACTCTTGTCAACCAGACTTCAGCTGGTCAGCCAATACCTCCCTTTTCAGTGTAATCATCACCTCTATTAGGGTTGTAATGCATTGTTTCCATGTTTGCTACGTAACTCTAGACTTTGCACTTCCAGGGAGCAAAACACTGTCTTATTTATCTTTATACTACAAGTGCCTAGCAATGTATGTCAAAAATATAAATTAATTAAGAAATGCATGGAACACATTACTGCCTCTGCCAGTTTTTCTCCAGTAGAGAAATCATTTTCAGCCCTGTAAAGTCTCTTGTTCATTTGGTCTACAAAAGTCTAGCAATATGGAAAGAAACTATGCAGCTTTGGATATGTTAACCAACTGAATAACAAAATTAATTGCCTGCTATATAGGTTGGGGATTGTGTTAAATATTGTGAGTCTTACAAGGAAATATAAGGCATATCTAGTCAGAATCTATGAAAGGATGAAGCATATACAATTACTGATTTTTAGTAAATAATCTAATTGACTGATTTATACCAGAAATGAATGTATAAACATTGAGCTATTAAAAATATTAATTGACACAAGAAGACAACAGGCAAACACAAATCCCAATACATGATAATGTGGATGGATAATAATGAAGCAGGGGGCTATAATGCAAGCATTCTGTTAGATCTTGCCACAGTTTAGAAACTCTCATATTATGTAATTTTTGAGTGTCACATTTCACAAAGATGCATGGCTAAGATTAACACAAATAGTTTGTGGTGTCTTTTGAAATACTTTATATTTTCGCAGCACCAATTCTCTATTGTTTAAAATGGATTTAGAGTTGTTATGATGCAGAATTGAAGAGCACTAAGGACTTCCTCTGGTTTTCATCATAAAGAATGCAAAATCCTGCTAAGTATGGTGGTTCAGGCCTGTAATCCCAGCATTTTGGGAGGCCAAGGTGGGAGGATCGCTTGAGCCCAGGAGTTGAAGACTAGCCTGGGCAACATGGCGAAATCTCATCTCTACCGAAAAAATAAAAATAATAATAATAAAATAAAAATTAGCTGAGTGTGGTGGCATGCACCTATACTCCCAGCTACTTAGGAGGTTAAGGTGGGAAGATTGCTGGAGCCCAGGAGGTGGTGGTTGCAGTGAGCCCAGATCACACCACTGCACTCCAGCCATGGCAACAAAGACAGACTCTGTCTCAAAACAAACAAACAAAATAAAACAAACAAATAAAAAGAATGCAAAATCCAACTGTGTATTTAAAGAGACTTTTATCAATCATTATCATTCAACATTTGCATGGAGGCTTCATTTTTTATTTAAAAAATGCTATGAGTGCAAACTTTAAGTATAATCTTATTCATACAGGATTTTTTCCCTAAAATCAATGACAAGAAGTATTATAATCAGAAAGTTTCATATAAAGTCTTCATAATTTCCAGTAATAGATTTACATGTTAACACAAAATCTAAAAGGATATTCTTTTGAATCTTGAACTTTTAAGATTTAACCAAAACATTTACTGTGCAATTTAACATATAAATCCTAAGTGGTTTTTAATAAATGTGTGGACTCTTATAATTGTTTTTTATCATATCTAATTGTATGAAAAAGCAAATACATGAGATAAAAAGACAGGAAATTTAGCAGAAAATGAAATAAAGAGGGCTTTCATTGTGTCAGAATCCCTTTCCTGGATAACACACAGTAGACCTTTTGATTTACTCCTTCATTTTAGAAGGAATAACTTACTCTTCAGTAGTTTCCTGAAAAGGAGTTAAAGAGCATTGTTATTATTGTTGTTTTGAGACTCTGAGTGACCAAAATTTTCTTTAGGCTACTCTCCCACTTGATTTATAATGTGGCTGAGTAAATATAGAATTCTGGGTTGAATGTTATATTCCCTCAGAATTTTGAAGGTAATGCTCTTATTTCTAATTTTTAATGCTGCTATTAGGAAGCCAAATGTTTTTCCTACAACAAATCCTTTGTATGTGATCCATTTTGTTCTTTGGAAGTTTTAAGCTCATCTCCATCTCTAGTGAGCTGAAATTTCATAATTACATTGGGCCCTTTAAATCTGGAGACTCATATCCATGTTCTGAGAAAGTTTTTAATATGATTCCTTCAGTAATTTTCTTTCTTTGTTTCTTTATTCTCTCTTCTGAATACTGGGCTTCCTGAATTGAACCTCTAAACTTTTAAACGTTTTCTCTCCTACTGTTACTTTATTTTGTTGCTGTTCTGTTTTCAGGGAGATTTTTCTCTATTTTCTAACCTTTATTCCAAGTGTATTCCAGTAATCTGCTTTTTAATTTTGTAAAGCTCTTTGGATTGTTGTACTCTGTTTCCTAATTGTTTCCTAATTTCTCTCTGCAGACAGCAATCACCATTTTCTTCTGCTGGGCTGTCTCTTTCTTCCAAGTTCCTTCCGTATGTTGTTCATTTTGGTCTCTCTCTCTGTTTCTTTCTCTCTCTCTGTCTCTCTCTTTTTTCAAGATTCAGATTTGTTGTATGGATATTGCAAAATTGTGAGGTCCGGGCTTCTAAGTGTACCCATCGCCCAAATAGTGAACATTATGTGAGAGCTTTGTCTATTGATGCTTGGTTGTCTGGAAGTGCTGTATGGCCACTGGGTTTCACTGTATGAAGGTCTGGGCAAGGAGGTGGTTATCTAATTCAGTCCTAGAGCCTTATATACCATATGTAATATGATGCCTCTAAAACTGTTTTATCTGAACTTCATTTATGAGCTCTAGACTTTCAGCATCTCTGGTGGGATGTCTAAAAGGAATCCCAAACGTGAAAAGAAAATCACAGCTATAGATCCTTACTGCTTCACTCTCCAAACTGCTTCTTCCACAAGGTTTCCCATTTCACTTTTATATAATTAGGCAGGTCAAAAACACAGGTATAATTCTTTTCTGACCTTTCTCTTTCTTGTATACACACATGGCAATTTAATCTATCTACAAACACACATGGCAATTTAATCTATCTACAACTATGGTTCTAACTTCAAAATATATTCAGAATCCAACAACTTCTTACTAGTTTCACTCTTCCAGCTCTAGCTCAAGCTACTGAAATTAAGTTCTCCTGCTTGAATGACTCTTCTCTACTTCTATTCTTGCCCCACTCCAATCCTTTTCCACACAGCAAGCAAAGGCATCTTTTAAAAATGTAAAGCTGATCATGTGATTCTCCTGCTCAATTTACCTTCACAAGCTTACTGTCACACTAAGAATAAAATCCAAAATCTTTACCAAGAAAACAGCATCCTCCAAGCCAGTATTCCAAGGGGAATTCTTAGTTTCAAACTCTCATTCTCTCTTCACTTTCCATATCTAATTGATCATCAAAATTTATCAATTTTAATTCCAAACATCTACATTCTTATTGTATTTCTTGTCCATTGCTGTCTAGCCATTTTTCTTACCTGAATCACTACTCTGGGTCTCTTTCCTCCCTCATTCCAGTCTTTTGCATTTTATATTCTCTCTAGACAGAGTCAATGTTTGAAACCAGTATCTGCTTATGTCACTCTCATGCTTCTTTCAGACTACTCGATAGACTCTAATTTGAGAAATACAAAGCTCTTCATGGTCTGACTTTTGCCTCCTTCTTGGCCTCACTCCCACTCACTAACATGAGTTAGTGGTACTCTATGCCGAAGTTATGAAATGTCTTATAGTTTCCTGGAACTGCCACTTCCATATGCTGTGTGCCTTTTTGGAATGTCTTTCCTTCTCTTTTCCTACTCCCAGGAAACCAGTCACTACCTCTAAGAGCATCATTGTATACTTAAATTATGCTACACAGCACATATATGCAGCACACGTATGGCAACTGTTTGACTGTGGTCTATTGATTCCACTAGAGTAGAGTTTCTAACATAGGGTCCATGCATGGGCTTCAGAGCAAGCATCAGGAGAAACTATCCATCAATTCTCTAAAACTGATTATAAAACTTTGTATGCAAAGCATACTTGCATTGTCCTGGGAGAAAATTTCACCTGATCTTCTATGACCCAAAAGGGATTAGGAACCAATACCCTAGATAGTGAGATTCTTTAGGGAATAGATAAGTCTTGTTCATACTTTTTATTTTTTAAATAGATGGGTCTCACTATGTTGTCCAAGCTGCTCTCAAAATCCTGAGCTCAAGCGATCCTATCACTTCAGCCTTCCAAGTAGCTGGCTGTACCTACAGGTGCATGCCACCACATCCAGCTATCTTTAATCTCTATATCTCACACTTATCAACCTATTGTACTGCATACAGCATAGTTAAAGCAACTGAACACAATTGCTTGGGTATGCTAGTAAGTACACACAAACAAATGTGCAGAAGCAATTGATATGTTATTTGCATATTACTTAGGCAAATTTCCTTAGGTCCTTGTCCAGGCAACATACTTGGTACCCTCTAAGCTCCCTAAAAATATTACAGTTTATTAAACAGACTCTAAAACTTATAAATCTCACCAATATATACTCATCAAATACATACTCTTCAAGATGAGTTTTTATCCAGTCTGTTAGTCTAAGCATAACTGTCACCACCTAAGGTTTCTTCTATTTATTTTACTTTAAAATATTGTACCCTTCATTTATTTACTTTGCATCTAGACTATAAATGTAATCTTGATTAGTCGACCCAACATATTTTTGTAATAACCAACAGATAGCTAAGAATCTATCAGGCTCTGTCTCTCTAGAAAGACTAGTACATTATTTCCAGGCTCAATTTCTATATTACCTAATAATTGGCTCTTTCCAGCTTTAACTACTTTCTCTTTTAAAGAGGTGAGAGGAAAGAGACATAACTTTAGTTATGCTGCAGGCTGAAGGAGCTCTGGTTCACCAAGAAAGTCAACAAAGAAGTAATGCCTAGATAATTTGGTAAGCCCAGTATCTGTAGTTTACTACAATGGAATCCTATTTGGAAAGCTAGTGTGACAGATATGGCCAGAATATCACTTAAATACACTGGGAAAGAGGCCAAAACAAATTTTTAGCAATGTTGTTTCATAACATTAGAGAAAATAAACAAAAGAGAAAAAATGAGGTATGCAGGAACAAGCTACCTCATGTTAGATTTCTTACCATCTTATAGAGATCTGAGACACTAATCTGGTCCGAGTCCACTACTTCAAAGTCCTTCCGAGGCACCAGGTCCAGGCCCAAATGTCTAGTAAAGAGAAAGACCACACTCAGTATGCCATGTACTCAGATTACTTATCTCTCTTTATGTGCCTGGGAACCCATACCTGCCACATCTTGTGGACAGAGGATCAGACACTGTCCTAGCAGGAACATGTCTTTATACAGCAACAACTAATTCTGTTCACTTCTGGGTAAATGAGGCTAGGGATTTAAGTTGACACAATTCCAGTTCAGGCAGTTCCACTCATGATGGTAAAAAGGTTTCATTCAGTATTACATTATATCAGCATGCTTGAGTTCATTAAGGATAGGTTTTCTTTACATCATTAAAAAGTCATGTTTATTTTTCTATTTCTCCCCATCTGACAGCTATGCTCAAGGTTTAGTTATGCATTAGTTTCATTAGGATGAAAAAAATCTTCAGGGTGTAATTCAAAGTCAAACACATAAAATTCACCTCTTAAAAGTTACTAAATGCAAAGAGATGTATCTTTTTCTCTTTATTCATTTATTTAATTTTTTATTTTTAAGTTCTGGGGTACATGTGCAGGATGTGCAGGTTTGTTACGCAGGATGTGCAGGTTTGTTACACAGGTGAACGTGTGCCATGGTGGTTTGCTGCACCTCACAACCCACCACCTAGAAATTAAGCCCAGAATGTATTAGCTATTTTTCCTAATTCTCTCCCTCCCCTCACCACACCCCCAGATAGGCCCCAATTTGTGTTGTTCCCTTCCCCATGTCCATGTGTTCAAAGAGATGTATAATTTGGCTGAGTTTCATCTCATTTTCAATTTAACTAATACTGATACTGGTAAAGACCTAGATATGTATTAGCACCAATATTTTAAGAAACATTAGATAAAAGTTTAACCAACAAGTATTACTACTCAAGACAACAGTATTTGGAGGATCTTTGGGGCAGTAAGAAGAAGTGATGGTAATGGCAGTATTAGGCAGTGGAAATAACTCTGGACACAGTCAGCACTTGGGTTCAAAATGGTATGTAATTTATGGTCAATAAACGTTAGCTCTTTTCTTGCACTCTAAGACAACAGCTCTAAACCAGGAATTCAATGGAGTTTATAGGGTTGTAGACCTCTGAAACTGCTTATGACACGGATGAGTTTGTGTGTGTGTTCATTATAAATTTTTTCTGAGGAGAGGGTCTGTAACTCTCATCAGAATTTTGGAGATGCTCTGTGACCACCCTATCCAAAACAAGGGTTATGAATTCTTGTGTCTGGCAAAAGCATTCCATGGGATTATAGAGAAGAAAGATTCTTTTTTCTCTTCAATTAGACTATGAACTATTTTAGAACATGCTAGCACAGCTAAATCTATAAGCTCTGTGCATAAAACTCATCATTGAAAATAAAATCAGGTGCACATCCAAAATTCAGATTCATTTACAATTTATACCCTGTTTATAGGAAAATATCTGATAAAATTACATTGCAGTAAGATTGATAAAATAAAAATGGAAAATCAAACCTATATGGAGAAAGTATTATAGAAGCAAATGTACTAACAGCATAGGCTAAAATGGTTACTAGGATTAAGAATTAAAATTTATATGTATACTTTCTAGCAGGCAAGAAAAAAAGAAAAAACATTTTCCTATTAAAGGTTAAAAACTTATGTTTTTCAATTAGTGTTTTTTTCTATTATCCACTAATTAAAAAAATGAGTTTTTAAAGAGAAAAAATTTTTGAACCAAATGCTAAAAATAACCCACAGTTTTACATAATGAGAAGATCAGTAATAAACTGTTGGCCTTATCCATGATGGTTTACAATTTAATGATAAAACTATGCCAATTGAAGTTAATGCATTTAAATCTATGAAACTGTATTTTTCTACAATTGGGATCCCGACTTCTTATATCAAAGAAACACTCCATTCCATCACCTCTTATTAGCTATTCTTCACTTATCTGAAACAATTTCAGGCCTCCGGCTTCTAACACTTAGAGCATGCAAAGGCAGTAGTGTTCACGGAGTGCAAGAGCGAGGTGCAGTACATCCTTTCTAACCCCTTCTTATAAAAAGCAACTGACATAAAGATAATTTTGCAGATATAATTTCAAATATTTAAAATACTTTTATAGAGATATGGAAAAACAATGGAAAGATCACAAGAATGATATTAGCATTTGTATCAGAAAACTGAAATAGTAATATGTAAAACACTTTCCAAATTTTCTGTAGTCACATTAAACTTTTTAAAATAATAAAAAATGAAGAGACAACATTTCATACATATTCTTTAATCATTTGAGATCTATAAATATATGTGAACTAGCCTACAATTAGGAAACAACAACAACAAAAAAGAATGAGTAAATAATATAATCAAAATAGGTGTTTTTATGGCTAGGTGCGGTAGCTCATGCCTATAATCCCAGACTTTTAGGAAGTCAGGGAGCGAGGACTGCTTGAGATCAGGAATTTGAGACCAGCCTGGGCAACTCAGTGAGACCCCATCTCTAAAAAAAAAAAAAAAAAATTAGCCAGGTTGTGATGGCATGTGACTGCAGTCCCAGCTACTCAGGAGGCTGAGGCAGGAGGATCACTTGAGCCAGGAGTTTGAGGCTGTAGTGCATTATTATTGTGTCACTTCACTCGGGCTTCAGGGACAGAGAGAGACCCTGTCTCAAACAAAAATGTTTTCAGCTGAGCGCCATGGCTCAGGCCTATAATTCCAGCACTTTGGGAGGCTGAGGTGGGTGGATCACCTGAGGTCAGAGTTCAAGACTGACCTGGTCATCATGGTTAAACCCCATCTCTACTAAAAACACAAAAATTAGCTGGGTGTGGTGGTGGGTGTCCGTAATCCCTGCTACTTGGGAGGCTGAGGCATGAGAATCACTTGAAACCAGGAGGCGGTGGTTGCAGTGAGCTAAAAATCATGCCACCACACTCCCGTCTGGATGACAGAGCAAGACCCCATCTCAAAAAAAAAAATTGTATTAGAAACAACAGTTTAAGAAATATCCAGATGACATTTAAGTCATTAGGTCTGGAATTGAGTGTATGTGCTCCTCTGTGGTAGTGCACCACACAGTGATGGCCATGTGTGGAGACTGGCATTATAAGAACTCTATCTTAGTTAGCATCATGGCAAGCTCAGCTTGCTTGTACAGTCAGCCGCCCTCCCATATAAATATTTATCCACCCCACAGAACTTTGAGGAACTATCATGTATCCTACCAATGGTGTTAGACATAAAGAATACAGTAGCTTTGAGTCATGCAAGTGTTCATATTCTTCATGTTAATCCTCTCTTGAGAGCAGAGTGTTTTCCCTCTCCTAGAAGTAACCAGAGCACAGTATCTTTTAGTTTTGTAATTTCATTATCTTGAGAAATAAGAGAATAATTAATGGGTGATCTGGTAAAAACCAAAAAGAGTTCCTCCTACTAAGACTATCTTTAATGGATAAAGGGTAGTTTGCAAAAGTTATATTAGTGACTGTCCTCATTTGAAAAAGGCAGAGATGTTGGACAGTGAGAACCAATACATGTTCACTACAAACTTCACTCTCAAAAAGAGGCTCCTGGCTATTTTTTCCTATGGTTTACTCGAAGAATAGTGAACATCGAATGCAGGGAATGGTCAACATGATCTCTATCTTCACAGCAAAAGATGCATTGCATTACAGTATTAAGGAGCATGGGTTCTGATGTCAGATCGGCTGGTCTGTATCTTGGGTATACCACCAAACCACACTGTCTAAAATCTACTATCGTAAGCTGTTGTAAGGATTAATCCACATAAAGGACCCAGCACAGTACCTGGCATTGTAAATTGCTACTGTTATTTTAATTATTATCCCCATGTTACATTGCTAGCCAAAATGTTAGCTTAGAGTTATAGGGATTGTGATCAAAGAAGTATGGTGTCTGGATAAAAAACTCTTTAAACAGATGAACACAAGCAGGGGGCAAACATCTATGTATATCTACATACAGATGTAGCACAGAGCTAAGTTTTCACAAATGGTCCTACCAATTGTTTAGGTAAACAGTCTTCACAAAAATACTTGGTCTTCTCTCACCCATCATTGATCATTCATTCATTCACTCCAATAATTCAACAAATATATATTAGAACCTATTCTGTGCTAAGCTCATGTTCAACCTAGGGACACAGCAGCTAATAAGGGACATAATCCTGACCCAATATTCTTTCAGATGGAGCTCTCTGAGACCCTGAATCTCTATTTCTTTTAAATGCTCTATACTCTCTATTCTATGTTCTATTTTATCTTTTTCCTTTCCCCATCTGAACCACAGAATATAGAAAATAATCTGAAGTTAATTAATTATATACAATGGATACTTTAAGGCAGTGGTCCCCAATCTTTTTTGCACCAGGGACTGGTTTCATGGAAGACAATTTTTCCACGGATCGGGGGGAGGGTGCAGGGGTTAGGACAGTTTCAGGATGAAACTGTTCCACCTCAGATCATCACGCATTAGATTCTCATAAGGAGTGCACAACCTAGATCTCTCGCATTACAGTTCACTATAACAGGGTTCACACTGATTTGAGAGGAGGTGGAGCTCAGGTAGTAATACTGGCTCACCGGCAGCTCACCTCCTGATGTGCAGCCCAGTTTCTAACAGGGGTCCGCAGCCCAGGGGATGGGGACCCAGTATCAGCTGAGAAAAGATGGAGATGTTAAGATTTCTTGTGGAGCAGTGCCCTTTTCTAATGCTTATAGTAAAAACAGCATACAGATAAGAACTATACTAATGAAAACACAGCATATTTACATTTATATAACATATAAAAATATATAATTAGTAATTACTACCTTTTACCAAACATTTACTTGGGCTAGGCACTTTATGTACATCATCTCTAAGCACTTTGGGAAGTAGACAGTATTAGATCCATTTTTTAACCAAGGAAGCTGAGGCCCACTGAGGTTAACTAAGTGGCCTGTTAAAGGAGTTGAGCTGGGCTTGTCTCAAGCTAGGTTGTTCTCATTCTGAACCTATGGTATTTCCATTATACCTGTCTTTTTAAAAATAACTGTGAAAGTTATAATAAGTAATAATGGCTACAAGTAGTTGTAAAATCAATTTAGTCATAACTGTTTGAAAGATGATTCTGTGTCAAACATCAAACCAGAAGGAAACAAATATCAATTGATTAATGAGTGTCCACCAGGCATGAAAACAAATCCACTTTATTACTCAAATACGTTCACATAGTGCCTACCAAGTGCTGAGTGCAGGTTATAATGATAAGCAAAAAATGCCAAAAGAGTGTCTGTGTAACAGTGTGTGTTAGTCAGTCGATTGAACATAAACTTGACAGGACTTTGACCATACATACTTTAAACATAGCCAAGACATCCCAGACTGTGAACAGGGCAAGACACTGATCAGTGAGCACACCACCAGGTACGGGAAGAACCGTTAACTGTGAAATCATTGAAAACTTCTGCTAATTTCAGGTGTCCTAACGCTGGAAAATATCAGTGAGTCCTTAAGGGTAAAGTACTAAGCCATAAACCTTTCTAGATCCTGGCTAAAAATCTACTTAAGAGGAAACTCACTGGGGGATATTTTCTGCATATAACAAACTAAACTACTGCTTGTGTATCTTACTCCAAATCAATTCCCTTGATGAGAGACATAAACTAAGTGGGAAGAAAGAGATATAGATGGGTTAGAATATGTAAAAATATGAGAAAGTAGAAAAGGGGAGGAGGAAGAAAAAATGACAGACGGAGAGAAAGAAAGAATAAAAGAACCAGAAATTTATATATATATATACACACACACACACATATACACACATATATATACACACATATATACACACATATATACACACACATATGTATGATTTGTTAAATTATTATTCTAAGAATAAAATATTTCTTAGGTATTTTTCCAAGGCAGAGATCAATTAGGCTATGTCAGTTCTCGGTTAATGCAATTTTAACCTAGCTAGCTACTGTAGTGATGAAATTAGAGACAGAAGAAACTTAGCATCTTTAGAGAAGATGTTGAAAATATTAAGTTAAATTAAAATTACATCACTAGAGAAATTATTTTAAAATTTGGAGTAGATATAATTAACTGACTAATTCTCTATGTAAGACACTTGAGCAAAGATGATGACTAGTTAATTTGAACACAACTTTCTGCCCTTCTTGTATTGCAGTTCCTAAAAATATAAAGAGCACAATGTAGAAAGTGCGGTTTCTATCTGATACAATTTAATAATTTTTACTTATGGAGTATCTACATATAGGCCAATAAGTTTAAGTCACATAAGTTTAATGTCTGAATATTCAAATTTTAGGCCAATAATTTTAAGTCACATAAGTTTAATGTCTGAATATTCAAATTTTAGGCCAAATAAATAATTCCTAATCTCAGGAAACAAAATAAAAAATTGTTATCTAGATGTGGAGAGCTCCTGACTAAATTAAAACTCTAAATGAAAGATTACAGGACCAGTTCAGTTCCTATCCTTGGAAGTTCTAACTGAATATTACTCAGATATACATCACAGGATGTAATAGTATTCACACTTGCAGAACAGAACAAAGATCAAATAGCTTAATGACTAAAAATACTGGCAATAATGTGCCTGGTTTTAAGACTCACACATAATTAGATAGATGATAAGGTTCTGCATAAAGCACATGGGCTTTGGGATCAGTTCTAGGTACAAATACCAGCTCTACCCTTCCACCATACAACGCTGGGAAAAGTGCCTTTGAGCCTAGGTTTCCTCAATGGGTAAACAGAGCTCTTGTCCTAGAAAGGCATAGCAGCATTTCTTCTTCTTCTTTTTTTTTTTTTTTTTTTTTTTCAGACGGAGTCTCGCTCTGTCGCCCAGGCTGGAGTGCAGTGGCGCAACCTCGGCTCACTGCAAGCTCCGCCTCCTGGGTTCACACCATTCTCCTGCCTCACCCTCCCGAGTAGCTGGGACTACAGGCGCCCGCCACCACGCCCGGCTAATTTTTTGTATTTTTAGTAGAGACAGGGTTTCACCGTGTTAGCCAGGATGGTCTCGATCTCTTGACCTCGTGATCTGCCCGCCTCGGCCTCCCAAAGTGCTGGGATTACAGGCGTGAGCCACCGCGCCCGGCCAAGGCATAGTAGCATTTCGTTACAACAGTGCATGAAGTGAGACCATGTACTTGCCATAGTGATGTAGACATATTTAATCAATACACTACTAATAACAATTACTAGTTTCTGAAATAGATTCTGAAAAGGCAGAGCTATAATGTCTGTGTAAGAGCTTAGAGAAAAGGCATAAGAGTTTAAAATCATATATTTAATTACATCAATTAAAACATTAAAATACATTTGGAAAACACTGATTCACATGCTAACATGTGCTAAACTTCAAGATTTTATGGCATTTATAAAAGTGTGGTGGAACAAGAAGTGTGGAACTATCAGAATAAAATGGGAACAATGGTTATAGTCATCTGTTCTCAGCTTTTGTGTGGAACAGTCTGTTTTACATAATCTAATGGTATGAAATGACTTTGTTTTTACAATATACCATCTTTTCTTTCAAAATAGGAAGAAAAGTTTTAAAAGAGTAAGCTCAAGGAGAAATCAGAAAGAACAGTCCTATCAGTTTTGGTGCAACATGTCTTTTCCTTTCAATAATGACAGACCTGCAAAGTTCTTGTTTAGGTTTTTAAGTGACTATATTTTCCACTGAAGGAAAGGAGAAAATAAGAAAAAAAGGAAGAGAGGGGTGGGGGAAAGAAGTGCAAGGGGAGGAAGAAAGGAGAAGAAAAGAAGACGGAAAGTAGGGAAGGGAGAAAAGGAGAAATAGGAAAGAGGGAGAAGGGAAGTGGGGAGGGGAATGGAACTGTGTTTTTCATTTTTGCTTATTAAGATATGCATATACATACCCCTCCAACGCGCGCGCACACACACACACACACACACACACACACAAACATATTTCATTGAGAAAAAGTCATGAAATTGGAATAGCCCTGTAATTTACTGGCAGGTATTTATAATGTTCTGAGCCTTTTTCAAGTACAATTTGAACTTGTTTCTAAGCTATCATCTATTTATTTTCAGATTTGATTGCAAAATCAGATTGGTTTGTTTTTCAAGTTTCATAATAAAGAGGTATAGGTACTGATAGTTCTGAAATAGTTCTATTTAATGGAATCTATAGTTGCAGTTAAACTGCAACATAATGAATTACACATTTATTAGTGTCATCAGTTCAACTGTGACCAATTTGCTTGGCACACAGTAATGTTATATTTGCAATTACTGTATTCTTATCATTGACTTAAAAATAAAAAGTGACATAATTTCATAACATAAAAATGTTTGGGTTTGAAGAGGCAGAATTAGTAGCTATGCTGTACATCAACATACTGTATTTTACTAAATTGTTATTCCCCAAAGTTAGATTTAGGGAACACTGATCTATGGTACACCTAAATTCATGTTATACACTATTATAGAAGGTAGTCTGTGGTAGGTGCCAAGCAATCCTACTAACAGTCATGATAGGGTGTAATTAAACAAAACAAACAAAGATATAAAGTTGTGGCTTCAAAAAGGTCACAAACAACGAATTTAGTGTTATATTTCCTCTTTTCTACTGATGAACACTACCAATTTGGGTGTGATCTACTGTTGATTAGATTCCATGTTTCCTCTTTCCTGATTTATTCTTCTACTTTGCAGAAGCACATCCGCAAGTCCCTTCTTAAGAAGGGGTCATGAGAGGGAACTTTCGTGCATCCCTGAATACCTAAAAATGGCTTTATGGTTTGTGTCCCCTCTCACTTAATTAGATGGTTGGGATTTGTAAAATAAAACTCTGGCTGGCAAATCATTTCCCTACAGAACTCTGAACATATTATTTCATTATCTCCTAGCATCCAGTGCTAATGATAACACTTTTGAGGACAGTATGATACTTATTCTTTTGTGAGAGGAACTATTTTTCTGTCTAAAACCCTTAAATAGTCTTCTCTTCATTCCTAGAATACTAAGCTATCTTAATGTGCCTCGTTGTGAGTTTTTGTTTGTTTGTTTTGTTTTTCCATTCATTATAAATATTTAGTGGGACGCTTTCAATCTTAATATTCCTGTTTTTTGGCTCTGACAAATTTTCTATTATTCCTTCAGAATTTCCCCCGTTCTTTTTTTGGAAGGCAAAATGTTTGATATTGGACCTCCCTGGGTAGAGCCTTTGTACTGAATTTCTTTCCTCATGTATTGCCTATATATTTGTCTTATTTTCCTAGGGATTACATAAAATTTGTCTTCTCTGAGTATTTTATTTTGGAAATTACATTCTCCACTTCTTTTACATGGCATCTTATTCTACATAGTGGATCTTTTAGATTCGATTTGAGGATATTAAAGTGTTTTTGTTTTGTTTTGTTTTAAAGTACTTTATCAATCTCAATTTGCTCTGGGGACAGGTTACTTTCTTTGTGTACAGGTGTTTTGTTAATCTTGGTCTCTCTCTGTCTTGTAGAAGCTTTTCTTCAAACATCTGGTGATACCTGATTGTCCATTCAAACTTAAAAGATAGCAGAAGAATTGTAGAGTTTTTTTGTACATGGGTAGGTGACTGGCAAGTTTCCCTTTCTGGTAAGCGGGAGCAATCTGCTCATTATACTTTAAAGTCCTTAAATGCCAGAATGTGGAGAGTTTTGCAAGAAAGTCCCAGTTCACACTCCTGTTGCCCAGTTTTTCCCCGGTAGCCATTTTTTATATTTGTTTATCTGAAGAGGAAATACCTGGCCAGGTTTCTGCTCATTGATTGGGGTAGACTGTTCCTTAGACACTCTTTTAAGCCAAGTCCTTTTCAAAGCTTCAAGACCTATCCCACCTTCTATGATTCTGGGAGCTGTGGGGCAGACTGACTCTCTCATTAACTAAGGTTTCCTCCACATATAATGGATTTACTCTGTCATTAATCTTTCATCTACTTTCCGGCTTCCAGAAATGGGCTCATAGATTTCATTTATTGGTGGGCCCCTCCCAAAAAGGATAAGGAGCTAAAGACACACATATAAATATACTTAAGGTATATGTATATTTTAAGTAGGAGGCAACCTGGTCACTTAAAAGTTCAATGGACCCAATTTTAAGAGAATGAGACAAAAGCACCTGAAATTTATATCAATTATAAAGTTATATTAATTATTATATCAATTATTGATATATCAATTATATTCACTGAAAATTATACCCTAACTTCCCATACCAAAGTCTTCAAATTGTACTTGTATGGCAATAGCAAATCATAGTTATTACATAAATGCAAGACTATTACTGAATGACAAGGTAGTCAAAAATATTCTGAAGTACAAATGTAGACAGTTTCCATTTGTAGGTTATGCTCATTCAGATTCATTGTATGGCTATAAAATGTGAAGGACACTAAATTCACATTTGAAGAAAGCACTAAAATATATTTTCAAGTGTATTCTGATTAGGAGGTGTAGAATCAAGAAATCTGAGGTCAAAGAAATTTAACTTTATAGGATAATCTAGTCCTATTATTTACCTCTTCTTTTCAGAAGCAAAAACAGAGGCTAAAAGAGGTTCAGCAACTAGAACCAGTGAGTATCCTTCGCTAACTAGGACAAATAACTGCTCCTAGCAAAAATGATGAAAGCTTAGTGAAGAATATAACATTGCCTTTGAATCATTAAAGAGAAGCTTTGTATAGGTGCAAACTCCCTGAAGACTGAGTTATCATAAATGAAACTGAGAGATACCCAAACAATTTTCATACTTACTCATTACCCCAGTCCAGGCGCACGGTGATGTGCCGCTTAACCTCCCGCACCTGATCCTGAGTCAGGTGACCAGACAGTAGCTGCCTTCGCAGGTCAATAAGTTCATTCATCACATGGCGTAGTTTGTAGAAAAGATCTACTTTGTGTTTCTGAAAGGGCATTTTTGGTGTTGGGTGAAATACAAGAGACATGGAAAAGGAATGAAAAGAAAAAGAGAAATAGTTAAACTATGAAAAGTGCTCATTTCTCTGAACTACTAAGGTAATATAAAGAGGAACTTAATTTTAAAGTCTGAAAGTCATTACCTCCTTCTATCCAAAAATCTCTACGTAGTGACATCCAACAAAGTAACATAATTGATTTGGATCATGCAAAAGTAGCATTTATCTCTACCACATCCTAGATTATTCATTTCTTTAGTAAATCAAAGTTACTAAACTTAGAACAGAATGTTACACAGGAGCCCAGAGCTGCTTTCCCTCACAGAAGTTGCAGTTCACATAAAAGCAAAAATTTCAACCATCCAGCAATAACTCTGGTTTCTCCAGGAGAGATATCCAAGTTGGGAGAGGAAGAATCATTTGCCCTATTTTGAAGCAACTAATGTTTCAATATAAAGCCACAGTCCCTGGAGTGAAATTCACTCCTGATTTCTAGGCCTCATCTGATTTTCTAATTAGCTTTTCTAAACGGTGTGTCCTTCCCCGACTCCCTCTGGTGTAACAGATTTCCAGTCTTTTCAGTTTAATAAAAATTGTCACCTTTGTAAGAGTTAAACGGAAACATCTTAACAAACTTAATTATGGACCTGGTAGTAGTTTTAACCTTAAAAGTAGAAAAATATAAGTGTCATGAGAATAGATGCTTCAGAAAAAAGATGTACTTAAAAATAATGTATGAGTTTAAAAACTCAAGTCCTATTTGCTGATATGTGAAATCTTGATTTTAGAATATTTTGGTTTCTGTATAATTAAAATTCTTGGGATGTAACTGATCTATAAATAATGCTTCTGAAGGCAGATTAAGATGTTAGTAAAATATCTGTATGAGATTTACCCTAAAAAAGATGTTTGCCAAAATAAGCTCAAGTCAAAGAAGCTATAAATAAAATTAGCTATACAGCAAATCACAAAACAGTAGAATCAGGTAGTGTTTTGAGGTGGCAGTGATCTTATAACTAAAACATTCAGAATATCATACTACTTAGAAATCATCTAATGTGACTTTTTTCTATTAAGAGACAGGATCTCACTCTCTCCCAGGTTGGAGTGCAGTAATATAATCAGCTCACTGCAGTCTCCAACTCCTGGGCTTGAGCAATCCCCTCAACTCAGCCTCCTGAGTGGCTCGGATTACAGGCCTGGCTAATATTTTTTTTTTTTGATAGAGTCTTGATATGTTGCCCAGGCTGATCTCAAACTCTCAGGTCCAAGTAATCCTCTTGCTTCAGCCCCCTAAAGTGCTGGGATTAGAGACATGAGCCACCACACCTGGCCCCATTAGACTTTTAAAGATTCATCTTAAAGAGAAATTATTTTTAACTAGAAGATGTTAGGAATCATATACTCTAACTTCTCCTTTCTTTAATCGATGAACTGATGAAGAAAAGTTAAGCATCCTGATGGTACACAATGCTGGAAAAAGGTGAGAACTCACAAATTCCTGCCAGCTCAAAAACCAGCAAAGCCCAAGCAAACTATACCATCTGGAAAATTGGAATCTTGACGATTAAGCCATAAAGGCAATGTGATATTTGTTTCCAACACATACGTTTCATATTGATAAAACAAAATCACCTGTTTAAGTATAAAACAGAAAGTTTGAATTATTATTTTCCCATCAAAGCCTATATGATAGTCCATTGCATGTATACATCCACAAGCATTCATTCATTCATCCAATTAACAAATGCTTGTGCAGCACCTCTTGAGTACTAACACTTTGTTGTGATCAAAAGTCCCTGCTCTCATGGCACTTTTGATCTAGAGAGCAGGCAATAGGCAAATCATTAATGATGGTGATAAATTATAAAAAGAAAAATCAGAGTGGCCAAGGGTAGGCTGGCTGGGGCACTGGGGAAGGTACTGCTTTAGGTGGAGTGGTCAGGGAAAGACTTTTTGGGAGCTGAACTTTGAGAATACACCTGAATGAAGTAAGGTGGCAACATTTAAGAAAACTGGGGACATTATTCAGGCATAAGAAACAAGTGCAAAGGCCTTGAGGTGGAAGTAAACATGGCATGTTCAGGAAAAACAGGGTCAGTGTGTCTTGAGAAAGGGAAGATTGATGATGCAGACAGGCAGCAGGCACCAGGTTAAACACAGATTTTGTAAACCACCTTAAGGCTTTGGCTTTTATTCTAAGCAAGATGGGAAGTTACTGGAGATTTGGAGCAGAAGAGTGATGTGATATGACTTAAGTCTCGAAAGCATCACTCTGAGTGCTCTATTGAAGATAAACCATAAAAAGGCAAAGAGGAAGGCAGGGATTCCAGTCAGGAGGCTATTTAGTGCAACAGTTCACAGCATAACAGCTGCTTGGATGAAGGTAAGAATGCTGATGTTAAGAAGGGCTTGAAGTTTTGACATGTTTTGTAGGTAGAGGTGCCAGAATTTGCTGACGGACTAGATGTGGGTTATGAACAGAGTAAAGTATCACTCTTGTTTTGTGGCCTGGAAAGCATGCCTGGAAGAAGGAAACTAAGTTTAATTTTGGACATGCTAAGTCTGACACTGATTTCCAACATTCAGAGGTTAGGAAAGTGAGAAGTATTTAGCAGAGGAAACTAGAAGGAGTAAGCAGTGAGGTGAGAGGAAAAGCAGGAGAGTATGTGTCATGAAAGCCAAATGAAAACTGGATTTTTCTTTTCATGGCTTTTTTTTTTATTATACTTTAAGTTTTAGGGTACATGTTCACAACGTGCAGGTTAATTACATATGTATACATCTGCCATGTTGGTGTGCTGTACCCAGTAACTTGTCATTTAATGTTAGGTATATCTCCAAATGCTATCCCTCCCCCCTCTCCCCACCCCACATCAGGCCCCGGTGTGTGATGTTCCCCTTCCTATGTCGATGTGTTCTCATTGTTCAATTCCCATCTATGAGTGAGAACATGCGGTGTTTGGTTTTTTGTCCTTGCAATAGTTTGCTGAGAATGGTGGTTTCCAGCTTCATCCATGTCCCTACAAAGGACATGAACTCATCATTTTTTATGGCTGCATTGTATTCAATGGTGTATATGTGCCACATTTTCTTAATCCAGTCTATCACTGTTGGACATTTGGGTTGGTTCCAAGTCTTTGCTATTGTGAATAGTGCCGCAATAAACACACGTGTGTATGTGTCTTTATAGCAGCATGATTTATAATCCTTTGGGTATATATACAGTAATGGGATGGCTGGGTCAAATGGTATTTCAAGTTCTAGATCCCTGAGGAATCGCCACACTGACTTCCACAATGGTTGAACTAGTTTACAGTGCCACCAACAGTGTAAAAGTGTTCCTATTTCTCCACATCCTCTCCAGCACCTGTTGTTTCCTGACTTTTTAATGATCGCCATTCTAACTGGTGTGAGATGGTATCTCATTGTGGTTTTGATTTGCATTTCTCTGATGGCCAGTGATGAAGAGCATTTTTTCATGTGTCTGTTGGCTGCATAAATGTCTTCTTTTGAGAAGTGTCTGTTCATATCCTTTGCCCACTTGTTGATAGGGTTGTTTGTTTTTTTCTTGTAAATTTGTTTGAGTTCACTGTAGATTCTGGATATTAGCCCTTGACTTCAAACTATACTACAAGGCTACAGTAACCAAAACAGCATGGTACTGGTACCAAAACAGAGATATAGACCAATGGAACAGAACAGAGCCCTCAGAAATAATGCTGCTTATCTACAACCATCTGATCTTTGACAAACCTGACAAAAACAAGAAATGGGGAAAGGATTCCCTATTTAATAAATGGTGCTGGGAAAACTGGCTAGCAATATGTAGAAAGCTGAAACTGGATCCCTTCCTTACACCTTATACAAAAATTAATTCAAGATGGATTAAAGACTTAAGTGTTGACCTAAAACCATAAAAACCCTAGAAGAAAGCCTAGGCAGTACCATTCAGGACACAGGCATGGGCAAGGACTTCACGTATAAAACACCAAAAGCAATGGCAACAGAAGCCAAAATTGACAAATGGGATCTAATTAAACTAAAGAGCTTTTGCACAGCAAAAGAAACTACCATCAGAGTGAACAGGCAACCTACAGAATGGGAGAAAATTTTAGAAAACTGGATTTTAAGGAGGACTTTGTCAAAGGCACTGGGGGGTTAAATAAATATGAACTGAGAATTGGCCAGGGGATTTGGCATTGTGGTGGCTGTCACTGACCTCTACAGGAACAGTTTCTTTTTTTTTATATGCAATAGATGTCTTATTTTATTTTATTATTATTATACTTTAAGTTTTAGGGTACATGTGCACAATGTGCAGGTTCAATGAATTGTTGGAGTGAGTTTGAGTGAGATTGTGAGAGGAAGAAGTGGAGAAAGAGCACAGACAACTCTTCTGAAGAATCTGCAGTAACTAAAAGCAGAGAAATGGGGTAGCAGAATGTGACTGTGTGGTTAAGGAAGGGTTTTTAAAAGATTTGACAAAATTTCAAACTAAATTTTGAAGAGAATAATCTATTAGAGGGAGAAAATTTGATGATGCAGCTGTTAAATCCTTGAGTAGACATGAACAGATGGATCCTGGGGAAAAAAGGGGAGGGTTTGATTTAGGTAGGAGGCTTGATACTCTGTGTTACCTACCTATTCTTCACAGAGAGGAAGGGTACAGAATATGGGTAATGATACAGGTAGCTGGTAGATCTGGTAATAAGAGAACTAAAATTTTCCTCTGACTGCTTTATTCTCAGAGAAATAAAAAGCAATATCATCAGCTGGGAGTGAATAGAGTGGGAAGGGGTATTTGAGATTTGAGAATAGAGCAAACGATATAAAACAGTCTCTTACGGAGTGGTAACTTGAATTGACCAGAAAGTTAGTTCCATTGCTAGGTAGTTCTGAGATCTGTGAAAACTAATTAAAAGTAATGTGGGATGTGGGGTGTGTGTGTGTGTGTGTGTGTGTGTGTGTGTGTGTGTGGTTTTTTTTCTAGCAAAGTCTAATGAAGTATACTGATACTGAGGCATCATGTGTATTAATGTACATGTGTGCTATGGTCCAAATGTCTGCATTTCCCCCTCAATAAATTCATACATTGAAATCCTAACCCTCAAGGCAATGGTATTAGGAGGTGAAACTGTTTGGGAGATAATTAGGTTATAAGGGCCAAGCCCTCGTGAATGGGATTAGTGCCCTTATAAAATAGGCCCAAGGCCATTATCCTAAGAAAATTAATGCAGAAACAGAAAAACAAACACCGTATGTTCTCATTTACAAGTGGGAGCTAAACACTGGGTACTCATGAATATAAAAACAACAACAATAGACACTGGGGACTATTAGAGGGTGAAGACAGGGTGAAGTACAAGGGTTGAAACTTACCTGTTAGGTACTATGTTCACTACCCGTGTGAGGGGATTATTCACATCTCAAATGTCAGAATCATGCAACATACCCATGTAACAAACCTACACATGTACCCCCAGATCTAAAATAAAAGTTAAAATGATTTTATACATACATACATATATATGTAATTATTTTATACATATATGTATACACCCACAGCCAAATTTCCTATTAATATTTAATTAAATATTTGTATTTATTACCTTAAAAAAAATAGGCCCAAAGGGGAGGTTCTTTCATCCCTTCTCCCATGTGAAGCCATAGCAAGAAGGTGCAAACTATGAGGAAGTGGACCCCCACCAGACACTGATTCTGCCAATCTTGATCCTGGACTTCTCAGCCTCCAGAAATGTGATAAATAAACTTCTGTTGTTTATAAACTGCTCAACTTAGAAAATTTTGTTATAGCAGCCCAACAAACTAAGATGGCATATACGTATTATGTATGTGTATATTAATGCATATACATGTACATATATACACACATACACATGTAATACATACATAAATGCACAATACACATATACAATATCTATGCCACACGCACAAACACACACTATCTATGCAAGAATATACAAATGTAGTCTTTTAAGGCATTGTACATGGTTTTTTTTAATCAAGAGTTTCACAGATTGCATTTTCCAAAGATAACTACAATATCTCCCATGACAAGTGGTCTTTTGCAATAATGTGACTTTGATACCCTTCCAGCATGACATGGAATCTATTTTCCCACAGTTTTGAATCTGGGCAGGCCCTGAATATGCTCTGACCAACAGATATGGCAGCAGTGAGCTAGGCCAGTTCTCAGCCTTTAACTAGTCTGGCTGCTTCTGCTTCCTGCATTTTGGAATGCATGTTCTTGGGAGCTGAGGCCATAAGTAAGGAGTTTCAATGGTGTGAGTGAGCAATCTTGGATACCTAGCCCAGCTGAGCCTTCAAAGGACTACAGCCCCTACCAATACTCAACTGCAACAAAATGAGAAACCCTAAATGAAAAATGCCCAACTGAGTTCACTATATCCAGAAAAGAATGAAAAATATAGTTATTTTAAGCCACTAAGCTTTGGATGGTTTGTTATGTAGGTAACTGAAACAATTACACAATTTTTTTCAATAGAAAATCAGTTGTTTCCAAATACATGAAAATGAAATTACTTATCCTACACCAACTGTGTAAAGATGCACAAAGAAGGAAATGGATTAAGTAAAGCAGCACTGTTATTATAACCAATGTGGTGTTAATTTCTTTTTCCGGGCCAACCTAATGACCTCTCTGACCAGAGACCCTAGCAGTAGAGGCTCCACCAACATTGCTCCGACACCGCACTGTGTTCTTGGGCTTGTTAGCATAAGACAGTATATACCACTCAAGGTGAGCAATCTGGGTGACTAGCACCAGAGCATACATTCACCTAGAATGATCTGATGCCACAAAACAGCTGAATACCTCACTCAGGAAAAACAATCCTTTTCTACTTAGAGACCTGCTCCTCAGTGGATTAAAGTAACAGTATAATTAGGTTGGCACTACAGGTTTTGTTTTCTGGCACAATCATCCCTATTTCCTGTCACTGCTAAAATAAAAGGAAAATTCAATGAGGAGGAGATTGGGCAGAAGAAATCTGTATAGCTCATCTTAGCAACACATCCAGCCTCTGCAAAAACCCTACAGACTAATATTTGTCAAGATCAGTCACAGATTATTTGGAAAGTACACTGAAGAGTCAGCAGAAACCATAAATTTAGAATGATTAAACTACTTTACAAACGCATGCCAAGTACAATTTGCCTCACTGTTGTGAAACAATCCCTGGAGCTCTGCAGAAAAAAAGAATATGTTTTAGTGCTCCTGTTTTAAAGATAATTTTTGCTAAATTATTTTTAACCCAGTATGGAAAGAAACGTTGTGCCACAGTGATGCCTCTAAGTCAGTAAATGAGCAAAGTTGTAGGGCATTTGCCAGAAAGTATATTACCTTTATTTTAAAACTACATATGCTTACGGACCAATTAATATAAACACAGCATCATAAAAATCTAATTAAATAAAAATGACATCAGAAATTTTGCTATCCTCAAAGAGAATAATGTCCTGCCACTAGTACTAAAAACTTTACATCAAAATCAATTTAATGGAAGATAAACATTGTTTCCTTCCAATGTTGTTGTGGGAAGATTACCAGATCTCCCCTATTTTACATTTTCTTTTTGAATATTCCTTTATACATAAGTAGATGGGTTTTTTCTCACTTTCTTTTTAACAAATTAACCATTAAGAACTTGAGTTTATTCAAAACTCCCAAAACAGCATTCTTTTTTCATTACTACTAATCTTCAAGTCTCTTCTCATGAAGTAACCTCTAATCCTATTCTAGATGTTTTCTTATATTCCAAAACTCATCCCAATATAATGAAAAGATTTCTAGACTACAGTACTTGGAACCCTAATGACCTTTATGTCAAAAATACCTTTAAATGGCCAGGCACAGTGGCTCACGCCTGTAATCCCAGCACTTTGGGAAGCTGAGGTGGGTGGATCACGAGGTCAGGACATCGAGACCATCCTGGCTAACACTGTGAAACCTCGTCTCTACTAAAAATACAAAAAATTAGCCAGCCATGGTGGCGGGCACCTGTAGTCCCAGTTACTCGGGAGGCAGAGGCAGGAGAATGGTGTGAACCTGGAAGGCAGAGCTTGCAGTGAGCCGAGATTGTGCCACTGCATTCCAGCCTGGGGAACAGAGCGAGACTCCGTCTCAAAAAATAAATAAAATAAAAATAATAATAATAAAATACCTTTAAACCCAGGAATCTAAACTTTCATTTTAGTTTGCCGAACAACATAGTCAGCAACTGAGTACAAAAGATAGAAATTTTTGTGAAACAAAACAGTATCTAAACCAAAGCTAATTCACACTGATTTTCAAGCACATATTTACAACAAATGAAAATGCAAAGAAGCGATATGAAAATTCTTTTTCTCTTCATTAATATGAGGAAGTATCCATACAATATGTATTTCCTTGGCACATACATCTAACTCCTCCACATCTCAAGGGCCATGATATCATCCTCAGTCTATCCCCAGCCCAAATACATCCTCCATTATAGAGTTGATATTCCAAATAACAAATAGCATTATAGCTCTAATCCTCTCTTACAACACATATATTTGCAGGAGAGCTAAGATTTGTAAAAATCTTTCTATTCCACAGAGCAGATCTTCATAAGAAAGGAACAACACCAAAGGTAGAAAGGTAGAAAAAATATTAGAGATATGACAATGGAGGCTGTAGTTGCTGAAGTCATCCATTCACGGATGGATAGATGCCAAGTGAAGGGCATCCATTCACAATTCTGAACAAGGCAGACTTACCTAACAGTGGGCAGTAAACAGCTGAGGCGTTCTCAGGCTCACAGTCACTCCTACTACACAGGACAGATCAAATCTCTACTTAAAGTCAGTCCTCGATGTGTCCATAGGCATCTCTTCTTAGGGAGACTAATAAAAAGCCAGCCTCAATCCTTCCCATGCACAACTATCCACTCCACCAAACATTAAAGGTGAAAGCTGGAAAGTAGATGACTTGTCAAAGAATAGAAAACTAAAAAAGCCCTAAGAGTAAGGTGGAGGAAGACAAGTGAGGAGGGTGGGAAACAGGGAAGAAATCAGTAAGATGCAAGCCTCTGCAGAAAGGCTCTGAGACTGGAGGTACCAGAAATCTCTGAAGCCTAGAAGTATTATCCCCCTTTACCCCCAACCCTTTCCCAGTGTGCTTTCCACATCGAGCTCCCCAGATGTTAACAACCAGGCTGATACCTGCATATGAAGAATGGAGAAGATTCCTCTTTAGGAAAACTCAGCCCAGGGGAAAAGATCCAGAAATATTGACAGCTGCTCTACTTTTTCCATCAAAAGCCAGGCCCTCTTCTAATCCCTCTAAAGTAATGTTCACTAATTGATAAATACTAGCCCAATTCACAGAGCTTTCTGTCAACATTTTAATGCCTCATTCTTAAATATGAATGGACAAAGAACACCATATAATAAGGAAAGCTTCCAACATGAAGGAAAGAGACCAAAGCAATCAGAAAAATAGATATTGGAGGAAACAGACACAATGACAAGAATAAAAGAAAATTTCAAAGAAAAAATAATTAATATTTTACAAGACCACAGAAATTATAGCACATCCATCCAAAGAAGAATAGGGCATAATAAAGGGGCATAACCCCCAAAACCCAAAAGGGCTTTTGGAAGTTAAAAGCAGGCTAGTCGTAATTTAATATTAAAAAACAGTAAAATAATGGAACACAAAATTGAGGAATCCTGCCTGAAAGCAGAATGAAAAGGTAATGCAATCCAATAGATAAATGGGAGACAAAATGTAAGAAAATTAGTGCATCATTTGAAGATGTCCAACTCTAATCAAAGGGTTCTAGGAAGACAGAACTGTGAAAACAAAGAGGAGGGAAATATCAAAAAATGAAATACAAACAAAATGTCCTAGAATTGAAAGAAATTAGCTTTTAGGCTAAAAGAATTGGCTGATTAGCCAGCATTATCAGTGAAAATAATCTACAGCAAATCATTGTAAAATTTCAGAACACTGGGGCAAAGAGATACTACTAAATTTTTCATAAAAAACAACTTGTCAATAAAAGGATCAGGAACTAGAAGGGCATTGGGACAAGACATGGAACATCTCAACAACAATACTGGAAGCTAGAAAATAATGAACCAATGCTTTAAAAATTTTTCATCTTATTTGTAACAAAGAAGTATATATCCAGCCAAGCTATCAATCAAAGGTAAGGGTAAGCTAAATACATTTTAAATATGTAAAACTTCAAAAATAAAAATTCTCCCACAAACTCTTTTTTTTTTTTTTTTTTTTTTTTTAGGAAGCTACGGGGAAAGTGCTTCACCAAATGAGGAAGTTTACCAAGAATTAAAGCAACACTGACTTAACCTAAGAGACAAAGGGACCTAGGAGAGAAGCAAAGAAAATTCTCAGGTTAGATTAACAAAGAAGGTGGCAGAGTCCATGCAGGATATAATTGAGAAAAAAATTCAACTGATAAAATACCTGAAGTGCTTGAACATAGTCAGATTTTCATTTATGCCAAAAGATTGAAACATAGAAAACAAAGGAAATAAAGCAAATTAAAAAGGAGAAACAATTATTAACCCTAAGAAAAACAAGGTTACACAACAAAGGAAATGTAACCTTAATTCACTATATGTGAAGTGGCTACACAGGCATAGTAACAACTAAACATTGGTTCAAAAAATGGTGATACAGCCCAGCATGGTGGCTCATGCCTGTAATCCCAGAACTTTGGGAGGCCGAGGCTGGTGGATCACGAGGTCAGGAGATAGAGACCATCCTTGCTGACACGGTGAAACCCCATCTCTACTAAAAATACAAAAAATTAGCCGGGCATGGTGGCAGGTGCCTGTAGTCCCAGCTACTCAGGAGGTTAAGGCAGGAGAATGGTGTGAACCTGGGAGGCAGAGCTTGCAGGGAGCGAGATCATGCCACTGCACTCCAGCCTGGGGGACAGAGCAAGACTCCATCAAAAAAAAAAAAAAAATAGTGATACAACTAGTTTGGAAGTATTGAAAGGGGAAGGGAAAAGTATGTATGTAGGGACAAGAGCATTCGGAGCTTAATTCTTATCTTCTATAATAAGAAGATCACTGAACTGTAACTTAAATAGAAAAGTCAAGATATACATTAAAATAACATTATTTAGAAATGTAAAACACCAGAAGAAACAACTAAGAGGGTTTAAAAAATGGGGAGTGAGAATCAGGAATGGGGAGAGATAGGGACAGGAATTTAAAGCTATTTTTTTGTTCAATGCCAAGTAGTCTGTAATATATAACTTAAAATCCATATATATATATATATATATATATATATATATATATATATATATCTTTGACTTTTTTAAAAGATGAAACTGAATAATCCTTACTATAAAGGGCCTTCCTCCATCCTCCACCCCAACTGGGTTGCTATGGGTCACAAAGTTAAGCAGTCTCAATTTAGCCCTCACTGCTATTTATTACTTTAAATAAATAGAACCAGCCAAACCTGCACTAGTGCAATGATCCCTCTCAGAATCAACACAAAAGCTAGACCATTTATACTTCTCATTCCTAGAGTGGATGAGAAATGAAACACATTCCACAGTAAAAGAATACCCTATGGAAAGCTCTGTCTCTTGATTACATATAGCATCTGTCCCTTCACAGCTTTCACATTAGTGACAGTACATACAAAGCAGAAATGATAGTTGCTACCCTGCCAACCAAGCCCCTTCAAGATCTGAGTCTCCTTGCTAAGGCAAATAAAGGAAAAAAGCAGAAAGTGCACACTGGCATGCAGCAGGCTCAGTCCTTTCACACGAAAAGAGCTGAAATTCCAAGGGCATCCAGGAACTCTCTATTAAAGGCATTATGTTGCGTTAACTCCTACCTCTAGTCTACTCTAGTCCATTCATTCATTCATTTTTTAGACAGGGTCTTGCTCTGCTGCCTAGGTTGGAGTACAGTGGCACAATCACGGCTCACTGCAGCCTTAACTTCCCAGGCTCCAGTGATGCTGCCACCTCAGCATCCTAAGTAGCTGGGACTATAGGTGCACCATGCCCAGCTAATTTTTTGTATTTTAGAGAGACAAGGTCTTGCTATGTGGCCCAGGCTTGTCTTGAACTCCCAGGTTCAAGCGATCCACCCACCTTGGTCTTTTAAAGTGCTGGGATTACGGGCATGAGCCACTGCACCCAGCCTACTCTAGTCCTTTTAAATGACTCTGTCTTACCTACTGAAAATAAAAAGCTGAGAACTTCAAAAAAATCTGTGAAATTTATCCAGATAATTTCCTGCCTTCCTACTACTCATCCTTCCTCTGGAGTTTCATAATTCTTTAACATAGAGACAATGGAGCATAGTGGGTGATATAGTTCAAATGCCCCCTCCAAATCTCATGTTGAGATGCAATCCCTAGTACTGGAGGTGAGGACTAGTGTGAGGTGTTTGGATCATGGGGTGTAGCCCTCATGAATGGCTTAGCCCCATCCCCTTGGTGATGAGTGAGTTCATGTGAGATCTGGTTGTTTAAAAGTGTATGGCACCTCTCCCACCCCCTTGCTCCCACTCTTGCCATGTGATGTGTCTGCTCCCATTTTGCCTCCTGACATGAGTAAAAGCTCCCTGAGGCCTCCCCAGAAGCTGAGAAAATACAAGGCCTTGCTTGTACAGTCTGCAGAACCGTGAGCCAATTAAACCTCTTTTCTTTGTAAGTTACCCAATCTCACATATTCCTTTACAGCAACACAAGAATGGCCTAACACAGTGGGAAAGGGTATTGGCTTTAGAGTCAGAATGGTTGGTTTTCTATCTCAACTCTGCCAACTACAGTACCTTAGGCAAATTTACTACTTGTGTGCCTCAATTTGCTCACCCCTTTACAAAAAGAAAAAAGAATATGGTCAACTACCAAGGATTATTACAGGGGTTAACTGTGCCTAGTACCTAGTAAGGGCTCTGTGATTGTGACTATTACCATACCACATTTCTTGCCTTGCCTCCAAAAGACACTCTGCTCTGAGCCTGGGTCCCAAACATCAACAAGTCTTCTAGTTGTGTTTCCAAATAATGACCAAGGCACCCCTGCCAGGGCACCACATCTGGCCTTTGCCATTGAGTCTTACGTGCACCTCTCTAATAATAAATAATAATCCTTTTCAACTTCTTACAGGTAACCATGTTCTTAATTTGTATCCTTTTCTTCCTTTAAATTTACTTATATATCCCTTTAAAAATTGTTTGGTTTTATCTATTTTTAAAAACTTTATATAAAGAAATTCTGTACCCTCTTGACTAAGCCAACCTTTACATTTGAAGAACATGTTACTCTGAATAAGGTAGACAGAAACTATTTACAATTTTTTTTCTCAAAAGTGAAACAAATTGAGCATTACTAAGTCCTAGACCTGAAACCAATGAACTGCCATCAAACTGTTACATCACAAAGTGTAAAGCTAAAAATTTAATAAAAATTAAAACATTTTTACTTTTAATTTTCATTAAAATATATGTGGTTATCTATAATCATATAATGCTATACGTGATGGTTAATATGTTAACTTGACTGGGCTAAGGGATGCACAAATATCTAGTAAAATATTTTTTCTGGGTACCTCTGGAAGAGATCAGCATTTGAACCAGCAGACTGAGTAAAGAAGAACTAATATGGATGGGTATTATACAACATGCTGAAGGCCTGAGAAGAATAAAAAGGCAGAGGAAGGTCAATTCACTCTCTGCCTGAGCTGAGACATTCATCTTCTCCTGCCCTCCATTTGTCTCTCAGTTCTCAGGTTCTGACTCAGACTGAATTATACCACCGGCCTTCCTGGTTTTCCAACTTGCAGACAGCAGATCATGGGACTTCTTGCCCTCTATAAGTGTGGGTCAATTTCTAGACTAAATCTCCTTTTATGTATATATCTATATATATCTTATTGATTCTGTTTCTTTGGAGAACCCCAATGTGCTACAATTCTATAAATCTCATGTATCAACTGGCCTGCTGTTTACTGAACAGAATATTGGTTTTAAGCTACATAAAAATATTATTATGTAATCTGGACTGGAGTGTAGTGGTGCAATCACAGCACAGTGTAGCCTCAAACTCTTAAGGTCAAGTGATCCTCCCACCTCTGCCTCCCGAGTAGCTAGGACTACAGGTGTGCACAATAATGTCCGGGTAATTGTGTTTTTGTTTTTGGTAGAGACAGGGTCTAGCTGTGTTTCCCAGGCTGGTCTCAAACTCCTGGCCTCAAGCAATCCTCCCATCTCAGCCTCCTGAGTAGCAGGGATTACAGGTATAAGCTACCACGCCCAGCTAATTTTTTTCAATCCATGAACATGAAATGTCTTTCCATTTGTTTAAATTTCTGTCATCAAAGCTGTATTTTTTTTATTGCAGGGATCTTCAATTTCCTTGGTTAATTTCACTCCTAAATATTTTATTCTTTTTGATGCTATTGTAAATGGGATTTTCTTAATTTCAAATATTTCTTTATCAGTACACAGACATGCAACTGATATTTGTGTGTTGATTTTCTACCCTGCAACTTTACAAAATGCATTTATTAGTTCTAACAGTGTTTTTTTGGGGTGTGTGTGTGTGTGTGTGTGTGTGTGTGTGTGTGGACCCATTAGGGCTTTCTACACATAAGGTCATGTTTTCTGAAAACAAGAGATAATTTTTCTCCTTCCTTTCTTATGTGAATGCCTTTTATTCTTTTTCTTGTCTATTTGTTCTGGCTAGGACTTTCAGTACAGGTTGAGCATCGCTAATCCAAAAATCCAAAATGCTCCAAAATTCTAAAATTTTGAGCACCAATATGACATTACAAGTGAAAAATTCCACACCTAACCCCATATGATGGGTCACAGGCAAAACACTGGTACAGAACAGTTTATTTAGTACCCTCGAAAGAAAACTGACCCATAAAGTTAGCTAGCCATTTAAAAAAGGAACCAGCATAATGCCTCCTGATCCCTAGAGGACCAACTTCCAGGTCCCTCAACTGCTCCTGATATTTCTTTTCACCAAAACAATTAAAATACACTGTAAGTAATCTTCTTTTTCTTTCTTTCTTTCTTTCTTTCTTTCTGAGACACGGTCTCACTCTTTCACCCAGGCAGGAGTGCAGTGGTACAATCTCAGCTCACTGCAATCGCCACCTCCCAGGCTCAAGCGATCCTCCCATCTCAACTTTCTGAGTAGCTGGGACTACACGCATGCATCACCATGCCTGGCTAATTTTTGAATTTTTTGTAAAGACAAGGTCTTGCCATGTTGCCCAGGCTGGTCTGGACCTCCTGAGGTCAAGGAATCTGCCTGCCTGGCCTCCCAAAGTGCTGGGATTACAGGCGTGAGCCACAGCGCCTAGCCTACAGTAACCTTTTAATCAAAACACAGCATTGTAAGTAGAGACCGAAAGCCTGCTACTGTTTGTTGTTGCTGTTGTTTAAAAGCTGATACAGGTATTCTGGTGATACTGCTGTGCTGCTCGTTACCCTGAACACATTATTTTCCATTGTATTAATGGCATGTCATAGTTGTTTTTTTTTTTTGAGATGGAGTCTCGCTCTGTCGCTCAGGCTGGAGTGCAGTGGCACGATCTCAGCTCACTGCAAGCTCTGCCTCCTGGGTTCACACCATTCTCCTGCCTCAGCCTCCCATAGTTTTTACTGTTAAGTACTTACGTGTAAGTTTAAGAAAATAATTGCTTATTGCTAGCATATAAATTCAGTCAGGAATGATGATGATGCCAAACAATCACAGACTACCCACATGGATGGCTGAGATAATGGCACCTTTGCTTCATGATGGTTTGATGTAAACAAACTTCGTTTCCTGCATGAAATTATTTAAAATATTATACAAAGTTACCTTCAGGCTATGTGTATAAAGTGTATACTAAACATCAGTGAATTTCATGTTTAGAAATTCTAAAGTTTCTTGGGGTCCCATCTCCAAGATATCTCATTACATATATGCAAATATTCCAAAGTCCAAAAAATTCCACAATACTTGCAGTCTCAAGTATTTCAGCTAAGGGATATTCAACCTGTACCATGTTGAATAGTGGCAAGGGTAGGCATCCTTATCTTATTCCTAATCTTAGAAGAAAACCATCAGCTTTTCACCACTGAGTATGATATAAGCTGTGAGGCTGTCATACATGGAGCCTTTATTATGCTGAAGTACATTCATTGTATACTTAATTTGTTGAAAGTTTTTTTTTTTTATCATGAAAGGATGCTGGATTTTGTCAAATGCTTTCCCCCCATCTATTGAGATGATCATATGATTTTTATCCTTAATTCTGCTATTGTGGTATACTGTATCAATTAATTTGTATATGTTGAGCCATATTTGCATCCCAGGATTACTGGTTTGATGTATGATCCTTTTGGTGTGCTGCTGAATTCAGTTTCTGAATATTTTTTTGAGGGTTTTTGCATCTAGGTTCTTAGGAATAGTGGCCTGAAGTTATCTTTTCTTTTAGCGTCTTTGTCTCGCTTTGGTAATATGGTGATGCTGGCCTCATAAAATGAGTTGGAAGTGCTCCTCCTTCTGTTTTTTTATAAGCGTTAACAAGGATTGGATTAATTCTCTAAATGCCTGGTATAATTCAGCTGTTAAGCCATCTGGTCCCGGGATTTCCTCTGTTGGGAGATTTTTGATTACTAATTCAATCTCCTTATTTGTTATTGGTCTGTTCAGGCTTTATCCTTCTTCTTGATCAGCCTCGTGAAGTTGTATATTTCTAGTAATTTATCCATTTCTTCTAGGTTGTCAATTTACTGGCATATAATTATTCATAATAGTCCATCATTTCTGTGGCATCAGCTGTAATGTCTCTTCTTTCAGTTCTGAATTTATTTATGAGTCTTCTCTCTCTTTTCTTAGTCTACCTGTTTGTTGATTTTATTTTTCTTTTCAAAAAACCATCTTTTTGATTTTTTTCTATTGTTTTCCATTCTCTATCTCTGCTCTAATTTTTATTTTTATTTATATATTTTTTATTATACTTTAAGTTCTAGGGTACATGTGCACAACGTGCAGGTTTGTTACATATGTATACATGTGCCATGTTGGTGTGCTGCACCCATTAACTCATCATTTACATTAGGTATATCTCCTAATGCTATCCCTCCCCCTCCCCCAACCTCATGACAGGCCCCTGTGTGATGTTCCCCATCCTGTGTCCAAGTGTTCTCATTGTTCAATTCCCACCTATGTCTCTGCTCTCATTTTTATTTTTCCTTCCTTCTAACTTTAGGCTTAGTTTTCTTTTTCTAGCTTCTTGAGGCATAATAAAGTTGGACTGTTTATTTAAGATCTTTTTAAAGTGTAGATATTTATCACTATAAATTTATCTCTTTGTACTGATTCTCCTGCATCCTATACATTTTGGTATGCTTTGTTTTCATTTTCATTTGCCTTGAGAAACTTTCTAATTTCTCTTTTAATTTGCTCTTTGACCTAATAACTATTCAAGAGTGTTGTTTAATTTCCATGTATTTGTAAACTTTTATTTTCATTCCACTATTATTAGAAAATATATTTAAAGTGATTTCAAACTTCTTAAGTGTGTTAAGACTTATTTTGTGATCTAGTACGTGATCTATCCTGGAGAATGAACTTGGAAAAATACTGATTCTGTTGCTATTGGGTGGCATGTTCTGTGTATGTCTATTGGGTCATTTGGTCTATACTGTTGTTCAGGACTGCTGTCTCATTGATTTTCTGTCTGATCTATCCATTATTGAAAGTGAGGAACTGAAGTCTCCTACTATTACTGTATTGCTATTTCTCCCTTCAGATATGCCAATGTTTGCTTTATATATTTAGGTATCATGATGAGTGCATATATATTTATAATTGTTCTATCTTCCTGTTAAATTGATTCAATCATTATACAAAAACCTTCTCTGTCTCTCACAACAGTTTTTGCCTTAATATCTATTTTGTCTGATACACATATAGCTAGCTACCTTTGCTCTCTTTAGGTTACCATTTTTATGGAATATTTTTTCCATCCTTTCACTTTTAGCCTATGTGTCTCCTAAAGCTAAAGTGACTCTCTTACAAACAACATATAATTAGATCTTGTTTTTAAAATCCATTCAGTCACTCTACATGTTTTGCTTAATGAGTTTAATGTATTTACATTTAAAATAATTCTTGGCAGTTAAGGACTTACTATTAACAGTTTGTTAACTACTTTCTCTGTTTTGTATTTATGTTGTTCCCCTCCTCCTCTCTTCCTTTGTGATTTAATGATTTTTTGTAGTGATATAATTTCATTCTTTTTTCTATATCTTTTAAAAATCTATGACAGGTTTTTTTCTTTGTGGTTACCATTAGGCTTTTGTAAAACTTCTTATGACAGTCTATTTTAAGCTGATAACAATGTTACTTCCAATTGCATACTAAAACTACAGTGCTGCAGGCCTGCTGTCAGGGTCCATGAGCAGGAGAGCTGCTACCCATCTGTACTGCTTCTTAAACATCCTGGAAATCTATAATTATCTCAAAATAAAAAGTACAACCTAAAAAATGTAAGACAATAAAATAAGATGCTCATGGTAAGAATGACTTGATATTTTAAATAAATGAAATATCTCAAAATTAATCCCTAATTTCAATGCTATTCCATTATAAATACCAAGACATTTTTTAAATAAAGAAATTCTACAAACAAAAGTATGATATCCTATGAATTAAGACCATGAATAGCTACATCAACTTTGCAAAAGATGAGAAATAAAAATAGACCTGCCCTACTAAATACAGGCATACCTCGTTTTATTGCATTTCACTTTATTGAGCTTCACAGATATTACGGTTTTTACAAATTGCAAAACTAGGCAACCCTGTGCCAAGTGAGTCTATCAGCTCCATTGTTCCAAGGGCATGTACTCACTTTGTGTCTCTGGAATTCTGGTAATTCTTGCAATATTTCAAATGTTTTCATTATTATTATGTCTGTTATGGTGAACTGTGTGTGATCAGTGATCTCTGATGTTACTATTGTAATTGTTCTGGGGCATTAAAAACCACACCCATATAAGATGGAGAAATTAATCGCAAATGTCTGTATTGTCACTGCTCCACCAATCAGGCATTCCCCTATCTCTTTCCCTCTCCTCAGTCCTCCCTATTCTCTGAGACAAAATAATACTAAAATTAGGTCAAGTAATAACTCTACAATGGGCCTCTAAGTGTTGAAGGGGAAAACAAGAGTCATGCATCTGTCACTTTAAATCAAAAGCTAGAAATGATTAAGCTTAGTGGCAAAGGCATGTTGAAAGCTGAGACAGCCCAAAAGCAAGGCCCCTTGCACCAAACAACCAAGTTGTGAATGCAAAGGAAAAGTTTGTTGGGGGAAATTAAAAGTGCTACTCCAGTGAACACAAAAATGATAAGACAGCAAACCAGTCTCATTACTAATATAAAAAAAATTTTTGAGTGGTCTGGGTAGTCAACCAAAATGACCACAATATTCCCTTATGCCAAAGCCAAATCTAGCACAAGGCACTAATTCTCCTTAATTCTATGAATGCGAAGAGAGGTGGGGAAGCTGCTGAAGAAAAGTCTAAGCTAAAAGAGGTTGGTTCATGAGGTTTAAAGAAAGATGGTATCTCCACAACATAAAAATGCAAGGTGAAACAGCAAGTGCTGATGGAGAAGCTGTAGCAAGTTATTCAGAAGATCTAGCTAAGATCACTGATGAACATGGGTACAGGAAACAACAGATTTTCAAAACAGCCTTCTACTGGAAAAGACAAAACGGCCTTCTATTAAAAAAAGATAAGAAGATGCCATTTAGGGCTTTTTTTTTTTTTTAAGTTCAGTGATACAAGTGCAGGCTTGTTACAAAGGTAAACTTGTGTCATGGAGGTTTGTCGTACAGATTATTTCATCACCCAAGTATTAAGCCTAGTACCCATTAGTCGTTTTTCCTGATCCTCTCCCTCCTCCTACCCTCCATCCTCTGAAAGACCCCAGTGTGTGTTGTTCCCCTCTATGTGTCCATGTGCTCTCATCATTTAGCTTCCACTTATAAGTGAGAATATGTGGTATTTGGTTTTCTGTTTTTTTGTGTTAGTTTGTTAAGGATAATGGCCTCCAGCTCCATCCATGTCCCTACAAAGGACATAATCTCATTCTTTTGTATGGCTGCATAGTATTCCACGGTATATATGCACCACATTTTCTTTATCCAATCTATCACTGATGGACATTTAGGTTGATCCCATGTCTTTGCTATTGTGAATAGTGCTACAATGAACATAACATATGCATGTGTCTTTATCATAAAATTATTTATATTCCTTTGGGTATATACACAATATTGGGATTACTGGATCAAATGGTATTTCTGTTTTTAGGTCTTTTAGGAATTGCCACACTGTCTTCCATAGTAGCTGAATTAACTTACACTCCCAACAACAGTGTATAAATATTCCTTTTTCTCCACAACCTTGCCAGCATCTGTTATTTTTTGACTTTTTAATATTAGCCATTCTGATTGGTATTAGATGGTGTCTCATTGTGGTTTTGATTTGCATTTCTCTAATGATCAGTGATGTTGAGCTTTTTTACATACGATTGTTGGCCGCATGTATATCTTCTTTTGAAAAGTATCTGTTCATATCCTTTGCCCACTCTTTAAAGGGTTTTTTTTTCTTGTAAATTTGTGTAAGTTCCTTATAGATACTAGATATCAAACATTTGCTGAATGCATATAATGCAAAAATTTTCTCCCATTCTGCAGATTGTCTGTTTACCCCATTCAGTTTCTTTTGCTGTGTAGCTCTTTAGTTTAATTAGATCCCATTTGTCAATTTTTGCTTTTGTTGCAATTGCTTTTGGTGTCTTTGTCATGAAATCTTTGCCTGTGCCTATATTCTGAATGGTATTGCCTAGGTTGTCTCCTAGGGTTTTTGTAGTTTGGGATTTTACATTTAAGTCTTTTATCCATCTTGAGTTAATTTTTGAATATGGTATAAGGAAGGAGTGCAGTTTCAATCTTCTGCCTATGGCTAGACAGTTATCCCAGCACCATTTATTGAATAGGGAATCCTTTCCCCATTGCTTGTTTTTGTCTGTTTTGTTGAAGATCAGATAGTTGTAGGTGTGCGGTCTTATTTCTGTGTTCTCTGTTCTGTTCCATTGGTCTGTGTGTCTGTTCTTGTACCAGTACCATGCTGCTTTGGTTACTGTAGACCTGCAGTAGTTTGGAGTCAGGTAGTGTGATGCTTCCAGCTCTTTTTGCTTAGGATTGCCTTAGCTATTCAGGCTCTTTTTTGGTTACACATGAATTTTAAAATAGTTTTTTCTAGTTCTGTAAAGAATGTCAATGGTAGTTTAATGGACTAGCATTGAATCTATAGTTGCTTTGGGCAGTATGGCCGTTTTAATTATATTGGTTCTTCCTATCCATGAGTGTGGAATTTTTTAAAATTTGTTTGCGTCATCTCTGATTTCTTTGAGCAGTGGTTTGTAGTTCTCTTTGTAGAGATCTTTCAACCTCCCTGATTAGCTGTACTCCTAGGTGTTTTATTCTTTTTATGGCAACTGTGAAGGAGAGTTTGTTCATGATTTGGCTCTTGGCTCTACTACTGTTGATCTATAGGAATGCTAGCAATTATTGCACATTGATTGTGTATCCTGGGACTTTGCTGACATTGTTTATCTGTTTAAGGAACTTTTGGGCTGAGATGATGAGATTTTCTAAATACAGAATCATGTCATCTGCAAACAGGAATAGTTTGACTTCCTTTCTCTCTATCTGAATGGGCTTCATTTTTTGCTCCTGCTGGACTGCCCTGGCCAGAACTTCCAATATTATGTCGAACAGGAGTGGTGAGAGAGGGCATCCTTGTCTTGTGCCCATTTTCAAGGGGAATGCTTCCAGCTTTTGCCCATTCAGTATGATGGTGCCCATTCAGTATGTGGGTTTGTCATATATAGGTCTTATTATTTTGAGGTATATTCTTTCAATACCTAGTTTATTGACAGTTTTTAACATGAAGGGATACTGAATTTTATCAAAGGCCCTTTCTGCATCTATTGAGATAATTATGTGGTCTTTGTCTTTAGTTCTGTTCATGTCATGAATCACATTTATTGATATGCTTGTGTTGAACCAACCTTGTATCCCAGGGATGAAGCTTACTTGATTGTGGTAGATTCACTTTTTGATGTGCTGCTGGATTCAGTTTGCCAGTATTTTGTTGAGGATTTTGGCATCAATATTCATTAACGATATTGGCCTGAAGTTTTCTTTTCTTTGTTGTGTCTCTGCCAGGTTTTCGTATCAGGATGATGCTGGCCTCACAGAATGAGTTAGGGAGGAGTCCTTCCTTTTCAATTTTTTGGAATAGTTTTCAGTAGAAATAATACCAGCTCTTCTTTGTATATATGGTAGAATTCAGCTGTGAATAAGTTAGGGCTTTCATGGCTAGGGAGAAGTCAGTGCCTGATTTCAAAGCATCAAAGGACAAGCTGGCTCTCTTGTTAGAGGTTAATGCAGCCAGTGGCTTTAAGTTGAAGGCAATGTTCATTTACCCTTCCAAAAACCCTGGGGCTTTTAAGAATTATGTTAATTCTACTCTTCTTATGCTCCCTAAGTGGAATAATAAAGGCTAAATGACAGCCTATCTGTTTACAGCTAGTTTACTAGAATATTTCAAGCCCACCGCTGAGACCTATTGCTCAGAAAAAAAGATTCCTTTCAAAATATTACTGCTCTTTGAAAGTACACCTAGTTACCTAAGATCTTGATGGAGATGTACAAGGAGATTCATGTTTTCATGCCTGTTAACACAAGATCTATTCTGCAGGCCACAGATCAGGGAGTAATTTCCACTTTCAAGTCTTATTACTTAAGAAATACATTTTGGGCCGGGTGCGGTGGCTCACGCCTGTAATCCCAGCACTTTGGGAAGCTGAGGCGGGCAAATCATGAGGTCAGGAGATCGAGACCATCCTGGCTAACACAGTGAAACCCCGTCTCTACTAAAAATACAAAAAATTAGCCAAGCATGGTGGTGGGCACCTGTAGTCCCAGCTACTTGGGAGGCTGAGGCAGGAGAATGGCGTGAACCCAGGAGGCAGAGCTTGCAGTGAGCCAAGATCGCACCACCGCACTCTAGCCTGGGCGACAGAGCGAAACTCTGTCTCAAAAAAAAAAAAAAAAAAAAAAAAAAAAAAATATATATATATATATATATATATATATATATATATATATATACATTTTGTAAGGCTGTAGGTGCCATAGATAGTGATTCCTCTGATGGATCTGGGCAAAGTAAATTGAAAATCTTCTAGAAAGGATTCACTATTCTAGAGGCCATTAAGAGCAATTCTGATTCATGGGAGGAAGTCAGAATATCAGCAGTAACAGAAATTTAGATGTTGATGCCAACCCTCATGAATGACTTCAAGTGGTTCAAGGCTTCCATGGTGAAAGTGATTGCAGATATGGTAGAATTAGCAAGAAAACTATAATTAGAAGTGGACCCTGAAGACAGAACTCAACTGCTACAATCTCATGATAAAATTTGAACAAATGAGGAGTTGCATTTTATGGATGAGCAAAGGAAGTGGTTTCCTGAGACAGAATCTACTCCTGGTGAAGATGCTGTGAACATTATTGAAATTATAACAAAAGATTTAGAATATTACATAAACTTTATTGATAAAGTAGTGGCAGGGTTGGAGAAGCCTGACTCCAATTCAGAAAGAAGTTTATGGGTAAAATACTATCAAACAGCATTGCAAGCTACAGAGAAATCTTTCATGAAAGGAACAGTCAATTGATGCAACAAATTTGTTGTCTTAAGAAATTGCCACAGCCACACCAACCTTCAGTAATCACCACACTGATCAGTCAGCAGCCATCAATACTTAGACAAGACCCTCCACTAGAGAAAAGATCATGACTGGCTGAAGGATCAGATGATAATTAGCATTTTTTTAGCAATAAAGTATTTTAAAATTAAGGTATGTATAGTTTCAGCATAATTTTTATATTCATTAGGAAACCAAAATATTCATGTGACTTGCTTTATTGCAATATTCACTTTGATGTAGTAATCTGGAACCACATTTACAGTACCTCTGAGGTGTATGCCGGTAGTAAGATATGCCTTGTCATATATTAAGACAGATCACAAAGCCATTTTGATTAAAAAAAAAAAAACTGGCACATTTCAGACAATAAAAGAAGAGCCTAGAAATAAACCACACATGGAATCTGGTATTTGGTAGAGACAGCATTAGAAGTCAATGAAGTACAAACAGATTGATTAGTAGGTGGTATAGAGAAAACTGGCTTATCATATTGAGAAAAGTAGAGATTACAAATTTCCATCTGGACAGTGAGTCCCAGATGGTTTAAAGACATGAATGTGAAAAGTAAAATTATGGAGCTAATAATATAAAAAGTAGTAGGAATATCTTTGTCACTTTGAAATGAGAAAACAAATAAGATGAGGTCTTATATGTTAAAAAAAAAAAAAAAAAAAAAAGACCTCAAAGCACAAGCTATAATGCAGAAACCCGAGGGTGATTACATTTCTATTCAGAATTTCTGCAGTATGAAAGAATCTCAAAGGTAACAGACAGATGATAGACTGCGGGTAGAGAGCAGACATGATAGACTGGGAGTAGATATATATAACAGCCAAAACTGACAATGAGAGATCTAAAAAATTATAAGGAATTGCTACAAATCAAGAAAAAACAAACCCAAAAGAAAAATAGACAAAAGATAACAAATAGTAATTCAGAGAAAAAGAAATCTGAATAACAAATAAAGCAATTATCAACAATACTACTAATCAGAAAAATGCAAAGGAAAAAGTAAGATGCCACTTAATAGCCCCCAGAATTGCCAAAATCATGGTAAAAGTACAGCTTAGCCAGTAATTTGGAGAGTGATTTGGTAAAATTAAATAGGCATGTACCCTACAATCCAGCAATTCCACTCCCAGTAATATCCCAGAGGAACTCTCACACTGGTCCTTGAGGAAACATTTATTTATAAGGATGTTTATCTCAGAACTTTTTATCCTAGCAAAAAACTGGAGGCAAACTAGAAGTAAAAATAAAAAATAAGCTGGGTACGGTGGCTCACCCCTATAATCCCAGCACTTTGGGAGGCCGAGTCGGGCAGATCACCTGAGGTGAGGAGTTTGAGACCAGCCTGGCCAACATAGTGAAACCTCATCTCTACTAAAAATATAAAAATTAGCCGGGTGTGGTGGCAGATGCCTGTAGTCCCAGATACTCAGGAGGCTGAGGCAGGATAACCCCTTGAACCCAGGAGGCAGAGGTTGCAGTGAGCCGAGATCGTGCCACTGCATTCCAGTCTGGGAAACAGAGCGAGACTCCATCTCAAAAATAATAATAATAATAAAATTAAATAATATGTATACAACATTATTCTGTGTAGAGAAATATATGTTTCAATAACTTTTATATAAATTAAAACACATATATAAAATCTTTTGGAAATAACTGCATATCCAAAAAAAAAACTAGAATACATGCCTGTACTTATCTTAATATATGTGTGGGAGAACAGGAGATGGGATATGGAATAAAGGGGAAAAACAGCCATATACAAATAAGATTAGAGAGGATCATTAAATTGACTGATGACAATAATGTGCCATGAACCAGGGAATATGATTACTTCAACCCTTACTTGGGGTCCAAAAGAAACTGTAATGAACAAAACAAAACAATATGCCAAGTTATCACTATACAGTGAGAAACAGTAATAAAGCCAGATGTTAGCACTGGCCTTACCAACACTGTACACAGAGAGTTAAAACATCAAAATCTTACTCATTTGGAATAAACTTTAACAAGGGGAATCTGGTATCATTTAAATGTTTATAAAGAAGTCACAGTGTGATGGTCTGATGTGTTCATCTCCACAGTGTATTGAAACCAGATCTCTCTCTGCTATACAAATGCCTCTCTTCTATGAACTGGGGCTCATGAAATCTCCACTAGATATGATTATTATGAACAGTTGGTTTCTACTACAGTACCTAGCTTTTACTTTTTTCTCACCCAATCTTAAATTCTATTTCATTTCATAGCTGACTCCTGAAATCAGTTATCTCTTGCCTAGATCCTAAAACCCTGCCCACCTACCATATATACCCTATACATACCCTAACTTACCAGCAGAGATGTGCCCTAAAAATGGAATTAGTAGTTGGCCAGATTAATAGGGCTCCCTTTCAGTAAAAAAGTATCTGGATAGACAACACTAGCATTTGACTCTGTGATTCTATCCACCAGAATTGCAAAAATCGTGGTAAAAGTACAGCTTAGCCAGCAATTTGGGGGAGTGATTTGGCAAAATTAAATAGGCACATACCCTACAATCCAGCAGTTCCACTCCCAGTAATATCCCAGAGGATTCTCCCTTCTTTTTTCTATGTTTCAATTGTTTAAAAATTACTCCTCTGGCTGACACATTTTTCTTTAGATGAATTCACACTGGTTCCTAAACAGTCTGGTAGGCTGCATTCTCTTTCTAAGGTGTCTTAGTCAGCTGCGTTTACTGTAATGAAATACCATAAACTGGTAGTTTTGACAACAGAAATCTATTTCTGATAGTTCTAAAGACTGTCTTCTAAGGCATAACACAATTCCTTTAAGTACTCAAAAACTATTTGATTAATGAATAAAACAATGAGACGAAGAAGAAAAAACACTTGATTATGCTCCATAGATATGACCCTACTCAATAAATCTCCTTATAGGTTCTCTGAGAGGTAATTTAATGAAATTAACTACAAAAGTTCTATCAGTAAACTGTAAAGTCCATGAAGGCAAAGATAGTGTATATTAATTAACTGTTGCAACTCTAGAACCTATAACAATGTCGGGCATGTAATACATGACTAATATTTCTGGAAAGGAATGAATAAAAACCTCATGAGGTGTTCACATAGGAAGAAAACTATAGAGAAAAAGAGCAAGGAAATGATTATGACCACAATCAAAATATCACAAATCACCAATAAAGAACTAACTCATGTAACCAAATACCACCTGTTCCCCAAAAACGTATGGAATTAAAAAAAAATTTTAAATAAAGATAATGGTCATTTCAGTAGGAAGGGGAACACAGGAGACTTCTAAAGTACTGTTAATGTTTTATTTCTTAATATAGGTGGTTGTTACACAGCTGTTTGCATTATATTTTTTTAAACTGTACCTATATTATTTACATACTCTGCTCTATGTATATTTTATCATTTAAAAGGAAAAAAAATTCCCCAAGTCTTAAAGGTGATCAAAAATATAAAACATATAAATAGATGTGTATTAGTCCATTTTCAAGGTGCTGATAAAGACATACCTGAGACTGGGAAGAAAAAGAGGTTTAATGGACTTACAGTTCCACATGGCTGGGGAAGCCTCACAATCATGGCAGAAGGCAAGGAGGAGCAAGTCACATCTTACATGGATGGCAGCAGGCAAAGAGAGAGCTTGTGCAGGGAAACTCCCGTTTTTAAAACCATCAGATCTCGAGATTTAATCACCATCAGGTGAACAGCATGGGAAAGACCCACCCCATGATTCAATTACCTCCCACAGGTTCCTCCCATGACACATGGCAACTGTTGGAGTTACAATTCAAGATGAGATTTGCATGGGAACACAGCCAAACCATATCGACATGTTTTGTTAAAAAAAAAAAATTAACCTAGTCGTGACTCCAAATACATCTAAAGTAAAGAGAAATGGAGCCTTAGCTGGAAAGAGAGCTAAGGGCATCAGAGTACGGTATAGTATGAAGTTCAGCATTCTGTTCTTTAAGACATATTAAACCTTTAAGGTACTATTTTAGATATATGACCATGAGAGAGTAACAGGTATAAGACTTACATCATAAGATAAACTACCTAAAGGTAGAATGTTCACCCATTTAAATGAATCATCTCTCAGACTGTCAGGCAATGAATATTTTGATCTCTACAATCAGAAATTAACAGGAAAGATAAATTTTATGAAAGATTGACTATATTATAGCCATAGGGTACCAGATACCAGGGTTCTGCAGATCACAACTGTACTTCATCCCATTCTCTCAAGGAGGAATATAGTATTGGAGTTCCACTCCCCAGAGGGAGGAGTAAGTGTCTAGCAAATTGATCCTCCTATAAATGACAGCTATAAACTCTGGGCAAAATACAAAACACCAATCATATGAGAGTTCTGAAGACTGAATGAAGGCAGGCAGATTTTGGAAGGGAGTATGGAGCAAGTGACTACCATGAAGTACCACCACATCCCCAGTGATGTTTAAAAAATTTTTTTAGATACTTTGCCCTAAGGACATCTACTGTCTTCATATCTGCTAAAACTCTGAAAAAAGCCAGTCACCTTTCTGGCCAAGGGAATCAGGAGAAGATTATAGGCAACCAGGGCACTAGTGAGGGGAGAAAAAATACTAAAAAGGAGAAAGCCTGATAAGGGTGACCCTGACTTCTGTGTTTAAATGCAGATCAAGTCTTTGGCTGATTTCTGAGTTATGCATGCACAGAGCAAACTGAAAGCAGTTTGTTTTCAAGGGGTTTAGAGAAATGAATTGAGATCTAAGCCACTGCCTGCCATAGGCATAACAGTGTATAGCTTCAGTCTAGCCAAATTAACCAACTATACAACAAAAACACCAGTACTCTCAGGATCAACAAAAAAGAATCTAGATTCTCTATAACATTTACAATGTTTAGGACACAATAAAAAATTAACCAACATCTGATAAGCCAGGAAAAGCTTACCCAGACTCAGAGGAAAAGACAGTCAACAGATGTCAACCCTGAGATGATAAGATGTTGGAATTATCAGACAAATACTTTAAAAGAGTTAACTAAAACTACACTCAGTGAGGTAGAGAATGATATGCCCTTAATAAATGACAAAATAAGAAATCTCAAAAGAAATTATAAAAAAGAATTATTTGGAAATTTTAGAACAGAAACACAGTATGAGAAATTTAAAAATCACTGCATGAGCTTAATGGCAGAATAAAAATGACGAAAGAGTTGGTGAACTTGAAAGATCAACAGAATTTCATCTGAAAAGACAAAGAATAAAAAGAAACAATCTCAAAGACTTGTGGAAAAAATTTAAAATATCTAACATAATTAGAATCTGAGGGCTGGAAAAGGAGAGAAAAAGACAAAGAGAGAATGAGGCAGAAAAATATTTGTAGAAATAATGACAATTTCCCAATATTGGTGAAGGGTGTAAATTTAGAAATTCTAAACTACAAGAAATGCATAATATATATTCAATAATAAGCTCAATGAATCGCAAACAGACTAAAGGAATTAATGCATAGGTACACCATAGTCAAACTACTAAATATAAAAAAATAAAGATCTTAAAAAGTCAGAGGAAAACAATGAATCACATAGAGCAGAACATGATCACTGATATCACATGATCATCAGAAACTGAGGCCAGACCACAATGGAATAACATATTTAATGTATTAGAAAAGAAATCATCCCAGAATTCTATATCTAGAAATAAAGACTGTTAAAGAAATGAAAGTGAAATAGGGCATTTGTAGAAAAAGAAAACTGAGAGACATCACCAAACTCACACTAAAAGAAATGCTAAAGTTTTTATACTGAACTTTCCCAAGGGGAAACTCCACTCCTAAATCTACAGAAATGAATAACACTGGAACCAGTAAATGTATGGATAAATATTGAGGACTATTTTTGCTATTGATTTCTTTAAAATATAATTGATTAAAGAAAAAACCATAACACTGTCTTAAGGAATCATGATATATAAAGATTTAATAGAGATGATGAATGTAACAAAGAATAGAATAGGATGTATGTTTATAAATATACTCATCACAGTTGTAAAGTATCTACATTTCATGTGAAGTGGAACAATACTAACTCCAAGTAGACTATAAAAAGCTATGAATGTATAATTCCTACTGTAATAACCAAAAAATAATGCAAAGAAGTATATCTTAAAAGCTGATACATAAATTATAATAGAATTCTTAAAATTATTCAAATAATCCAAAAGAAGATGCAAAAGGGAAAAAAACATATGGAACAAGCTAATGAAATGCTAGGAATACAAAGAATATCAATGATTGCATTAAATCTCAATATAGAATAAAAACTCCAATTAAAAGGCACTTAAATGCCACCTATAAGAGATGTACTTTCAATACGAACTCAAAAAATTCACGGAAAATGCATATTATGAAAAAACTATACATCAATTAAAAATTTTTTGCACCAAAATAAATTCACACTAACATAACAAGCTAATATGACACAAGTCTGAACAAGAACTAGTCTGAGCTACTAAGAACGATAAGACATTAACTTGAAAAGAGCTGCAATCAGAGCAACCTGAATTCTGTAAAACTGAAAAAAGAACAAACATCAAACTTACTGTGAGGCTTAAGTGGAAGAATGGTGAAATCATTGATGCTTTACAAAAAGCTTATAGAGACTTTTGCCATAAACTTTTGGGCCCCGAAGAAATAAGCAGTTTACAAATAGATAACTTGTTTTAAGAAGGGATGAGGCGTTGTTGAAGATGAAGCCTACAGCCACAGACCACCCACCACATCAATTTGTGAGGAAAAAATTAATCTTGTTCATGTCCTAATTGAAAAGGACCAATGATTAACTGCACAAACAACAGCCAACACCACCGATATCTCAATTGGTTCAACTTACACAATTATAACTGAAAAATTAAAGTTGAGCAAATGTTCCACTCAATGTCTGTCAAAACTGTTGCATTGCATCCAGATTAGCTACAGACAACAGCAGAGCTTTCAACAGAAATTTTAGATAAGTATGATCTATATCCTGAAGCATTGCTTCAAATAATTGTTAACAGGAGATAAAACATGGCTTTATCAGTATGATCCTGAAGACAAAGCACAATCAAAGCAATGGCTACTAAAAGGTGGAAGTGGGCCAGTCAAAGCAAAAGGGGACCAAGTAAGACTAAAGGTCATAGCAATAGTTTTAAGGAAGGATCAAGGCATTTTGCTTGTTTACTTTCTGAAGGGCTGAAGAAGTAACATCTGCTTATTATGAGATTGTTTTGAGAAAGTCAGCCAAAGCTTTAGCAGAAAAATGCCTGGGAAAGTTTCACCAGAGTCCTTCTCCACTATGACAATGCTCTTGCTCATTCGTCTCATCAAATAAGGGCAATTCTGTGAAAGTTTTAATGGGAAATCAAGCACCACCTCATACAGTCCTGATCTGGCTCCTTCTGACTTCTTTCCTAATCTTAAAAAATCTTTAAAGGGCATCCACTTTTCTTCAGTTAATAATAGAAAGGACTACATTGACATAGTTAAATTTCCAAGACCCTCAGTTCTCAAGATGGACTAAATGGCTGATACAGAAGAGTCTAAACTTGATGGAGCTTATTTTGAGAAGTAAAGTTTATATTTTTATTTTATTTTTGAGACAGGATCTTGCTCTGTTATCCAGACTGGGGTACACTGGCACAATCACAGCTCATTGCTGCCTCAAAGTCCTGGGCTCAAGCAATCCTCCCACCTTAGCCTCCCAAGTACTTGGGACTATAGGACAGGTGCCACCATGCCTGGCTAATTTTTGTTTTTAAATTTTTAGAGACAAGGTCTCATTATGTTGCTTATGCTGGTCTTAAACTCCTGGCCTCAATCGATCCTCCTGCCTCAGCCTCCTGAGTAGCTGTGATTATAGATGTTAGCCACTGTACCCAGCTTCCACATTTTTCATTTTTATCTAGTAAAAGAAAAAATTTATCCATGAGCTTTTTGAAGTCTCCTTATATAGGAACACAAGATTGAAAATAGTTGGAAGAAAAAAATAATCATGCAAACACAATAAGCATAAGAAGGCTGGAGTGGCTAAATCAAAAGAAGATAAACTTCAAAACAAGAATACCAATGTCAAAATTAATAAAAACTATATTTTAAATGTGTGCAATATAGTCTATGTAAATTATTTCTCAATAAAAAAGTTTAGTAGTGTATCAATTTAGGATTTGGGGGCACTGACATGAAACTTAAGTTGTAGGGACTAAATCATATTCTTACTAAGACTACTAAAGTAAGCAATTTTCTGTTTTATCAAGATTGCGAACTAGTTTGGGATGCCAGCTACCTCTCCCAAAATAAACTGTGGAAAAATCACTGAAGTGAGAAATAAAGTAGAGATTCTTGGAATTAACATGCACACTTATACACACACACACACACACACACACACGAGGAGGGAGGTACTTGAGGACACTCAAGAATATCTTAAACTGATGTCTATGTGGAAGGTGGTGTCTTAGTTTCATTTAATTTGCGCAGCTGTAACAAAATACTTATACTTGGGTACTTTATACACAATTAAAATCTATTTTTCACAATTCTGGAAGCTAGAAAGTCTAAGATCAGGGCACCAGTACACTACACTCATTATCTGATAAAGGCTGCTTTCTGCTTCCAAGGTGGTACCCTGTTGCTACATCCTCTGGAAGGAATGAATGCTATGTTCTCACATGCTGGAAGTTCCCTCCAGCATTTTTATAGGGGTATTAATCTCATCCATGAGGGCAGAGCCCTCGTGGCCTAGTTACCTCCTAAAAGGAGGTATTTCTTTTAACCCCCAATACTTCTGCATTGGGGCTTAAGTTTCGACATGAATTTAGAGGTGGATACAAACATTCAAAACACAGCAGGAAGGTAACTAGTATGAGGCATTATTTTGAATACTGCTTTTGTCCCTCCAAAAATACTAACTAAGAACATTATTGCTGGTTCTTTCACCATAAAATCAGTAACAACAATTAGGGTTGCCATATCAACATGGTAAAATCAGGATAAAGGGCAAGCTTTGCTGGGACAAAGTACTGATGAAAATAAGTGCTGGCATAGACTCCTTTATCCTCTTGCTCCCCATTCAGAGACTTTAAGGCTGGTGGATTAAAACATAAGGAGACAGCTTCCTCCTGATGCTGCTTATCCCTGAGTTTAAAGGTATAATCATGGGCCAGAGTTTTCTTGGAGACGTAACAAAAACTGCAGTGATCAGTATGGTTTTATGATCTTGTACTCACCTTTCTAAGGCTCAACCCTTAAAATTGATCAGGATAGATATCCACTAAAGCTTTGATTTCAGCTCTAACCTACCCAAATATCTATTACCAACAAAGTAGCTGATCAAAAAAGGATGACAATAAAATATAGAAGAAAAAAGTAATTGTTATAGACATAGCAAATTGAAAAGTATGAAAATTTCTGTGTCCTAGTGATGATAGTTTCCAGCCGCCCAAAGTTCCTGTGAGTACAGCTAAAACATATGAAAAAGTACAAAGCATACCTTTTTGAAGTTAAAGAGTTTTCAAGACAGCCAGGCATTACAAAGCAAAGATCAAGGAAAGAAGGAAAACTCAGTGGGGTAGCCCAACATTTTGCATGCCATTTTCCCAATCAGAGATTTAATGATTCTTAGGTTGGCAAGAAAGGCTAAGAAGCCAGAGAGAGGATGGCCACTAATAGATGAGAGCTTTAGGCAATCACACAGGACGGGGAAGACAAAAATTGGGGTTTGTGCTGCCAAGGTTGTCAAAACTTGAGGGGCTAAGATTTAAAAGAAAACAGAAGCCTATTTAGGTGTGCTCTATGCTCTTGGAGATGTTATTCCTCTTGACACATTTGCTGATTCTTAAAATGCTTATTACTCAGTACTAAAATGACTAGCAGAAAGTAAACTAAAAGTAGAACAGATTTTAGCAGTGTTTTGGAGACAAAAATTGGATCCAGAACTTGACAAGAAGGTAAACAACACACAGTAAACAACCTAGCCTCTCAACTAGAACCACTAGAGGGTGTATCCTAAAAATGGATACTAATCAGAGGTAGACTATACCTTACCATGACTATAATGCTGCCATATCAAAGAATCTGCCTTACTCAAATAGCCAGGGGATAAGGTGAGCACTCTATAGGGGAAGAGGACAGCATGCAAAGCCTCTATAATTTTTCATACGTGATATCTGGGATTCAATTAAAAATTATCAGGCCTACCAGGAGACATGACCATGGAAAAAACAGTCAACTGAAACAGACCAAAAGATGGCCAACTAGGAACAGCATAAATTCTTCTCAGAAAAAAGATCAAAGTTATTAGTGAATGGTCAAGTTTGGAGTGCAAAATGGAAGGTGGAGAGCCAGGACTTGTTGGAATGCCCAACCAAAGAAGTGGGGCGCACAGAAAATGAGCAGCAAAAGTCTGTCTGGCATTGACCTCCAAGGAGGTCAGAGTCCAGTAGAAAGAGTAGGAGAGAGTGCTTTCCTCCTCCCCTTCCCCCTCTGATAATCTGCTTACTGCCAAACTGCTGGAGAGCGCCTCTGGCCCACCCCCCGACCCCGTGTCCCAGGGAAACACAATAGGTGGCAATTAGAGATCTTCTCAGGAACAGAGAACCAGGTGGCCACCTTGAGCAGATGTGCTGAACCTGCCCCTTCAGATGCAGACTGAGATGGCAGGTGCCATGCTAGCTGTGCACATGTGGTACCACTGCCCTGATGAGAGATTCTCCACCCTTGAGCCACTGCACCCTTAGACCACCAGCAGACATACCCCACAACCCACTCTGACTCTGGCAAGCATGAGGGACTGTTGGATCCCCAGGGAGTTGTGGGTCCCCTGGAGATATAACCTTCAACACAAACTGCACCTAAGGGAAGGAGGAGGGCAGCACACCAAAGCCCCGCCTTGGGACAAAGGGAATGCAGGTGTGGCACCAACCACTTCAGGGGGTTCCACCAAAGCCTGGGAATGAACATGAAGAGAGAATCATCTCTTTCCCCCTGTTCCCCTCCCCAGTGCACTGTTGCAGACATGGCAGATGCCTTTCCCACTGGGGCCTCGTGGGTGTGCACTGAAAAAGAATGATTTTTGTGCTTCTTTGGCAGCCCCACCCCCACTGAAAGCCAAGCACATGCTGAGAGAGAGCTTTTCATGCTTTTATGGCAGCTCCAGCCCCGCAGAGGGTGAGCAAGCATGAACTAAGTAAAAGCCTACCTGCTGGCTCTTACTCTTAGACACCATCTACCAGACTGCAGCCTGAATTACACAACCAAAGAAAAATACATCGTTGCAAGTAGCATCTCAGAAAATGACTACATGAACCTATCTGTAACCAAGGAACCCATACAAAACCTTGGCCCTCTGAAAGCATGCAGAAATGAAGAGAAATGATCATATACAACATACAGCACAGTCATATCCTCAAGGGAAAGAAGAATAAAAAATCAAAAAAGCCCATTAAAATTAAAGTAAATTTTTAAAAAAAGAAACATCAGCTCTCTCAGATGAAAAGGAATCAGCACAAGAACTCTGGCAATAAAAAAAGCCAGTGTTTCTTCACCTCCAAAGGATCACACTAGCTCTCTAGCAATGGATGCCAACCAGACTAAAATGTCTGAAATGACAATATAGAATTAAGAATACAGATGGCAAGAAAACACAATGAGATTCTCATGGAAGTTGAAATTCAATACAAAGTCACCAGAGAAATGATCAAGATATGAAAGACAACATAGCTATATTAAAAAAAGAACCAAACAGAACTGGAATTTAAAATTTCACTACAGGAATTTCAAAATGCATTGGAAACCTTAACAACAGACTAGACCAATTAGAAGAAAGAATTTCACAGCTTGAAGACCAGTCTTTGAGTCAACCCACTCAGACAAAAATCAAAGAAAAAACAATTTAAAAAAACAAAACCTTCAAGAAATATGGGATTATGTAAAGCAACCAAGCCCATGACTTATTTTCATTTCTGAGAGAAAAAAACAGAAAGTAAGCAATTTAGAAAACGTATTTGAGGGTATAATTCAGAAAAATTTCCCCAATCTTGCTAGAGGTTGACATGCAGCTACAAGAAATTAAGAGAACACCTGCAAGATACACAAGACAAACATCCCAAAGTTACACAGTATTCTGATTATCCAAGATCAACGTGAAAAAAAAAATCTTAAAACTAGCTAGAAAAAAGGGCTAAATTATCTATAAAAGGAATTCCACCAGACAAACAGCAGACTTCTCAGCAGAAACCTTATAAGCCAGAAGAGATTGGGGGCCTATTTTTAGCATTCTTAAAGAAAAAACATGCCAGCCAAGATTTCATGTATCACTAAGTTAAGCTTCATAGGAGAAATACAATCCTTCCTAGAAAAGCAAACGTTAAGAAAATTCATCACCACCAGTCTAGCCCGACAAGAAATGCTCGAGAGCTCTAAACATGAAAATAAAGAACAATACTTGCTACACAAAAGCACAAAAAGGTACAAAACCCACAGACCCTATACAGCAACTACCATTCCAGCCTACAAAGTAACTAGCTAACAACACTATGACAGAAACAAAATCTCATATATCAATATCAAAGTTGAACCTACACAGCCTAAATGCTCCACTTAAAAGATACAGAGTGGCAAATTGGATGAAAAAAAAAATGAGATCCAACTTTCTACTGCATTCAAGAGACTCATGTCTCATGTAATGACACCCATAGGCTCAATGTAAAGAGATAAAGATCATGCAAATGAAAAATAAAAAAAGGGGAAGGGGGTGCTATTCCTATATCAGATACAACAGATGTTAAACCAAAGACAATAAAAAGGACAAAGAAGGGCATTACATAATGATAAAGGGTTAAATTCATCAAGAAGAGTTAACTATCCTAAATATATATGCACCCAACAACAAAGCACCCAGATTTATAAAACAATTACAACTAGACCTAAGAAAACAGCCACACAGCCACACAATAATAGTGGGAGACTTCAAAACCCCATTGACAGAATTAGATAATCATCAAGGCAAAAAACTAACAAAGAAATTCTGGACTTAAATTGGATACTTAACCAATAGACATCTACAGAATACCCCACCTAAAATCCACAGAATACAGTTTGCTCATCTATACATAGAACATACTCTAAGATTGACCACATGCTCAGCCAAAAAGCTAGTCTCTATAAATTGAAAAAAAAAATCAAAGGCATACTAAGCATCTTCTTGGACCACAGTTGAATAAAATTAGAAATCGATACCAAGAGGAACTCTCAAAACCACACAAATACATGGGAACTAAATGAGTTGCTTCTGGACAACTTTTGCGTAAAAAACAAAATTAGGCAGAAACAAAAAAAAATTATTTCAAACAAATAGAAACACAACACACCAAAACCTCTCAGATGCAGCAAAAACAGTGCTAAATGGAGTTTATACTCCTAAATGCCTACATCAAGAAGATAGAAAGATCTCAAATTAACAACCTAGTGCCACAGCTAAAAGAACTAGAAATATAATAACTAAATAAAAATCTAGCAGAAGAAAAGAAATACCTAAAATCAGAGAACTGAACAAAATAGCAACCAACAAAACCATACAAAGGATCAAAAAGAAATTTGGTTCTTTGAAAAAAAAAGATTGATAGACTGCTAGCTAGATTAACAAAGAAAAAAGAGAAAATCCAAATAAGCACAATCCAAAATAATAAAACTGATGCCACATAAATACAAAAGATTCCCAGAGATAACTGCAAAAATCTCTATGTGCACAAACTAGAAAATCTAGAGGAAATGGATAAATTCCTGTAAACACACAGCATCCCAAGACTGAACCAGGAAGAAATTGAAACCATGAACAAATCAATAATAAGTTATGAAACTGAATCAGTGATAAAAAGCCTAGCAACCAACAAAAGCCTTAGACCAGATGGATTCACAGTTGAATCCTACCAGATACACAAAAAAAGAGCTGGTACCAATCATACTGAAACTACTTCAAGAAAATTGAGGAGAAGGAATGCCTCCCCAACTCATTCTATGAAACCAGTATCATCTTGATACCCAAAGCTGACAAGGACACAATAAAAAAAAAAAAAAAACTACAGGCCAATATCCCTGATAAACATAGATGCAAAACTTCTCAACAAAATACTAGCAAACCAAATTCAGCTGCAGATCAAAAGATAATTCATCATGATCAAATGGGCTTTATTCCTGAGATGCAAGGATGGTAAACATATACAAGTCAATAAATGTGATTCACCACATCAATGGAACTAAAAACAAAAAAAAACATATGACCATCTCAATAGACTCAGAAAAACCATTCAATAAAATCCAACGTCACTTCATAATACAAACCCTCATTTTTTCATTTTTTATTTTTTTCAAAATGGCAGATTGGAGGCAGTGTTAGCTTGCCTCTCCCACTTGGAAGGTCAGAATAGTGTGTAGAGATTCACACTGTGAATTTTTTTTTTTAAAGCAAGAACCAACACAGGAACTTAATAGAAAAATCAAAAGAATCTACAGACCCTTTGAAACAAATGGCAGGCTGCAGCCTACTCCATGAGACAGGTGAAAAACTAAGTTCTCAGAGTGTGAGAAGGGGAGAGTCTGCCTCTGAGTACATCCTCACTGGGGAATCTGAAAATTCAGGCCATGGAAGAAGACCTTAAACTCTACCAAGAGCTGGATCAAATTTAGAAAGTGGCATAAAATATAAAAGTAGAAGCAACAGTGGGAAGGGGCTTGCAGGCATTCCCAGTCTCCAGTGTGAACCAAGGGAAGTGATTCCTGACTATATCTCACAGGAGCCCTTGGGGAAGTCGGTCAACGAGGGAGAATTCACAGGGTAAATGCAGCTCCCAACTGAATTTTGTGATATAATCTCAAGAGAGGACAAACACCCCATGAACAGAACCTGGGGAATGAGCAGGAAGTGAGCTGCAGACAGGAGTGCAGAAGCTGGGCACGTGACTTTGCAGAAAGACGGGGAGGGGTGCGGCCTGAAAGCTGTGGTTGCTATCTCTGTGGGGAAGCTTATAGGCTGGGGCAGGTCTGAATTCTGTGTGCAGACTGCCTAGATCTAAACCAGGTGCTGTCACCAGAGCACCGCAGGAGTGACACCGACCTTGAAAACGATGTGGGAACTAGGTAAGGCTCACTGCTGCCCACTACTCCCCACTCCTTTTGTAAACTCCTCTGTGCAGCAGAGGCAGTTATACTCCCCTGTGAAACATTACCCCAGCGACCTGAGAACCACCTTGGTCTCTCACAGGGGCCTTAGCCTGCCCTGCACAAGGAGAATCAGAGCTCAGGCCCACCTAACCCTGACCCAACCTGGTGGTATTTCTCCACCTGCCCTGGTAACTTAATACAAAAGACATAAACTTTTAGGAGACTTGTAGCCCCACCCATCACCTAAGAAACCAGAATACTTCCCCTAGGCAACTTAGGGCAAGCTCAAATCCCACTGTTATTACGGCAGCTGGTGCTCTTTTGAAAGCAACACCTCCTGGCTGGAGGCCAACCAACACAGATCTTGACACCATCTCTAGATAGAATAACACTGTGCCCAAGAAGGAGAAAACAGCTGCATGACCTCGGCAATCATCACTGCCTGCAACACCCTGGCAAACCAAAGGTCCTGAGTCTGTCCACGTGACAAGTTCACTACTAGTATTACCAGCATTCAAGAAAGGCAGCACACTAAGCCTATCTACAACCAAGGAATCTCAGAGTCTATGTCACATCACTGGATCCCTTGCAGACATTCCCCAATTCAGGGAACAATTCAGGATGACTGCAGCCCCACAGGAGGAGCACTGCCCAGATGCAGGCTTGCACAAAAGGCAGAATCACAATTCCTCCCTACATGGAACATCAATATTCCTAAAGAAGAGGTGCCTGTCTGATCTGAACAGCCAGAACACTGGGAAAACAGTAAAGCTGTGAGGTGGAAAGCTTTTCTGCTGGCCTAGCAGGGAAGCTGAGGTAGCTCTCACCCTTCACCCTGATAAAATCTCAGAACATCTAATTGAGATCTACCCCTGACCCCCCAGTTACCTTCATCAAGGCTGGGACCTCTGCCCACCATTGGGTATTACATCTACCAACTTGCTTTAGCTACAACCAGTGACTACCCAGGGATACATCCACAACTGGCCTAAAGCCTGAATCATCAACTCAGTTAATAAAATACTGGGGAAAAAATTGAATAAATAAATAAACCATACACCATGAGAGAATGAGATAAGCTTTAAGGAATCCCTGCCATTCCAACCCAATAGGAGACAGTGAACTGGCCTACACACCAAGTACATAATAACTATTACAACCATCATATGGGAAAGCCATTGCACAAAGACTTTCTATAACAAAGGAACTCATACAGAGTCTTAACCAAGCCCCAAGAATCAAATTAGGCTAAAATAATTTACTACAAACATTGAAGTCAGACCCTTAAAGTAAAAAAAACCATTAAGAAAACACAGTCTAGTAAAAAATAAATTCAGTAACAATTTGAAAAAATAGGCTATCCAAATTAGAAATAAATCCAGAAATGTAATTCTGGTAATATGACAAAACAGGGTTCCATAAAACCCCCAAAATGTCACAATAGCTCTCCAGATATGAATCCAAATGAAGATAAAATATTTGAAATGAGACAAAAATAATTCAGAAGGTTGATTATCAAGCTACTCAAGGAAATACAAGAGAAAGGTGAAAACCAACAAAAATGAATTAAAAAAACAGTCAAGGATATGCATGAAAAATTTTCCAGGGAGATAGATAACTATAAAGAAAAAATCAATCAGACCAGGCCTGATGGCTCATGCCAAATCCCAGCACTTTGGGAGGCCAAGGCGGGCAGATCAGCTGAGGTCAGGAGTTTGAGACTAGCCTGGCCAACATGATGAAACCCTGTCTCTATTAAAAATGCAAAAATTAGCCGGGCATGGTGGTGTGCACCTGTAGTACCAGCTACTCAGGAGGCTGATGCAGGAGAATCGCTTAAACCCATGAGGCAGAGGTTGGAGTGAGCCGAGATCACACCACTGCACTCCATGGCACAACAGAGCGAGACTCTGTCTCAAAAAACAACAAGAACAACAACGACAACAAAAAACAATCAGAACATCTGGAAATGGAAGACAAACTTAGGAAAATACAAAATGCAGTGGAAAGTTTCAACAATAGACGAACAAGGAGAAGGAAGAATTTCAGAGCTCAAAGACAGGCTTTCAAATTAATGCAATCAGACAAAGATAAAGAAAAAAAAAAAGGAAATGAATAAAGTCTCCAAGAAATATGAGATTATATAAAATGGCCAAACCTAAGAATAACTGGTGTTCCTGAGGGAGAAGAGAAGTATAAAAGTCTGGAAAACTTATTTGAGGGAATAATTGAGGAAAACTTCCTTGGCGTTGTTAGAGATCTGGATATCTACCTACAAGAAGCTCAAAGAATTCCTAGAAAATTCATTGCAAAAAGACCATAGCCAAGGCACATACTCATTAGGCTATCTAAAGTTAACACCTACAACCAACTGATCTTTAACCCAGCCCACAAAAATAAACAATGGAGAAAGTACACTATTAAATAAATGATGTTGGGAAAACTGACTAACCATATGCAGAAGAATGAAACTGGGCCCCTACCTCTCACCATATACAAAAATTAACATAAGGTAGATTAAAAACTTAAATCTAAGAAGTGAAACAGTAAATATCCTAGAAGAAAAACTAGAAAATACTCTCCTGGACACTGGCCTAGGCAAAGAAAACCAAAATTGACAATTTGGACCTAATTAAACTAAAGAGCTTGTGTACAGCAAAAGAAACAATCAACAGAGTAAACAAGAAACCTATAGAATGGGAGAAAATACTTGCAAACTATACATCCCACAAAGGACTAATACCCAGAATCTATAAGAAATTTTATATGCATAAATTAAATGTTAACTATTGTGTACGCTGGTAACATACACATTAGCAGTATGTTCCATGTATCTAACACACATGTAACTGGAGTTCCAGAAAGAGAAGAAAGAAAAATGGAGCAGAAGCAATATTTAAAAACATAGTTCTTTTAAGTCAAAGAAAGACATCAAGCCATAATTCAATTAGTGCTAAGAACTCCAATCTGCATAAATAAAAAGAAATCCAGACCAAAGCACATTACAGTAGAAGTGCTGAAATCTAAGATAAAGTGGAAATGTTAAACTGTCATTATTCATAGGCAACAGAATTATGAGCAAAGAACTTCCAGAAGAATCTACAAATAAATCATTACATTTAATAAATGAATTTAACAGGGTCACTAAATATACAGTCAATGTACAAAATCAAATCAAGTCTATCTACCTATAATAAAAAACTACAAAGTAAATTGTTTAAAAACTTAAAGTTACAAGTGAAAAAATAAATACAAATTTCTAACTTTAAAGCTAATAAAAGATAAGCAAGGCTTTATACTGAAAACTAAAACATTTCTGAGAAATATTAAAGGTGACATGGATCACATTCACTGATTAAATAATTTAACATTGTTAAAAAATGTAAATTCTCGGCCAGGTGTGGTGGCTCACACCTGTAATCCCAGCACTTAGGGAGGCCGAGGCAGGCAGATCACAAGGTCAGGAGTTCGAGACCAGCCTGGCCAACACAGTGAAACCCCTTCTCTACTAAAAATACAAAAAATTAGCCAGGCGTGGTGGTGGGCACCTGTAATCCCAGCTACTCAGGAGGCTGAGGCAGGAGAATCGCTTGAATGCAGGAGGCGGAAGTTGCAGTGAGCTGAGATCGCACCATTGCGCTCCAGCCTGGGTGACAGTGCGAGACTCCGTCTCAAAAAGAAAAAAAAAAAAGGAAGTTCTCCCAGAAATTATCTATTGATTCAAAAACAATTCTAATCAAAGTTCTAGAAGGAATCTTATTAAGGAAAGTAAATGGGCTGAAATGCTCATTTTAAAATTTGGGTAGAAATATAAAGGGCTAAGAACAGCCAAGAAAATCATAAAGAACTTCCTTAAATCTTAAGGAATTTGGATAATTTATACTACTAGGTAAGGAAACTTATGAATCTACATTAATTGAGACATGTTGTTGGCTAAAAGAATATATAAATAGGATTTCCACTGAGAGGTTCACTGTTAGTCTGATGGGGTTTCCCTTTGTAGGAGACCTGGCCTTTCTCTCTGGCTGCCCTTAACATTTTTCTTTCATTTCAACCTTGGAGAATCTGATGATTATGTGTCTTGGGGTTGATCTTCTCATGGAGTAGCCTACTGGAGTTCTCTGTATTTCCTGAATTTGAATGTTGGCCTGTTTTGCTAGGTTGGAAAATTGAAGGACCTCTTCAAGGAGAACTACAAAACACTGCTCAAGGAAATTAGAGAGGACAAAACAAATGGAAAAATATTCCATGCTCATGGATAGGAAGAATCAATATCGTGAAAATGGCCATACTGCCAAGAATCATTTATAGTTTCAATGCTATTCCCATTAAACTACCACTGACATTCTTCACAAAATTAGAAGAAATTATTTTAAAATTCCTATGGAACCAAAAAAGAGCTCAAATAGCCAAGACAATCCTAAGCAAAAAGAACAAAGCTGCAGGCATTATGCTACTTGACTTCAAATTATACTACAGGGCTACAGTAACCAAAACAGCATGGTACTGATACAAAAACAGACACATAGACCCATGGAACAGAAAAGAGATCTCAGAAATAAGACTGCACACCTACAACTATCTGATCTTCGACAAACCTGACAAAAACAAGTAACAGGAAAGAATTCCCTATTTAATAAATGGTATTGCGAGAACTGGCTAGCCATATGCAGAAAATTGAAACTAGATCCCTTCTTTATACATTATACAAAAATTAACGCAAGGTGGATTAAAGACTTCAAGGTAAAACCCAGAACCATAAAAACCCTGGAAGACAACCTAGGCAATAACATCCAGGATACAGCAAAAGGCAAAGATTTCGTGATGAAAACACTAAAAGCAATTGCAAAAAAAGCAAAAATTGACAAATGGGATCTAATTAAACTAAAGAGCTTCTGCACAGCAAAAGGAACTATCATCAGAGTAAACAGACAACCTACAGAATGGGAGAAAATGTTTGCAATCTATCCATCTGATAAAGGTCAATATCCACCATCTATAAGGAACTCAAACAAACTTACGAGAAAAAAACAAACAACCCCACTAAAAAGTGGGCAAAAGACGTGAACAGATACTTCTCAAAAGGAGAAACACAGGCGGCCAACAAACATGAAAAAAAACTCAACATTGTTGATCATTAGAGAAATGCAAATCAAAACCATAATGAGATACCATCTTAGGCCAGTCAGAAGGGCTATTATCTAAAAGTCAAAAAACAACAGATGCTGGCGAGGTTGCAGAGAAAAACGAATGTTTTTACACTGTTGGTGGGAATGTAAATTAGTTCAACCATTGTGGAAGACAGTGCAACAATTCCTCAGAGGCAGAAATACCATTTGACCCAGCAATTCCATTACTCTGTATATACCCAAAGGAACAGAAATCATTCTATTATAAAGACACATGCGCACATATATGTTCACTGCAGTACTATTCATAATACCAAAGACATGGAATCAACCTAAATGCCCATCAATGATAGACTGGATAAAGAAAACATGGTATATATACACCATGGAATACTATGCAGCCATACAAAAGAAACGAGATCATGTTTTCTGCAGGGACATGAATGGAGTTGGAAGCCATTACCTTCAGCAAACTAATGCAGAAACAGAAAACCAAACACATGTTCTCACTTATAAGTGGGAGCTGAATGATGAGAACATATGGATGCATGGTGGGGTTGGGGAACAACACACACTGGGGCCTGTTGGAGGTGAGGGTGGAAGGAGGAAGAGCATCAGGAAGAATAGCTGATAGATGTTGGGCTTAATACCTAGGTGATGGGTTGATCTGTGCAGCAAAGCACCACAGCACACGTTTATGTAACAAACCTGCATATCCTGCACATGTACCCCAGAACTTACAATAAAATTTGAAGGGAAAAAATAGAATCTATAAATAAACTAATGAAATAAAACAGAATCTGGAAAGAGACCCACACATATACAGTCACTAGGTTTATGACAAAGGTGGCACTGCAGTATAGTGAGAAAAGCATTTTCTTTTTAACATGAGGTGCCTGTTCAACTAATCAATTGATCCCATATTTCCATGACTAAAATTCAACTCCAGATGTATATTAGATCTGAATGTAAAAGGAAAACAATAAAGTTTCTAAGTGGTAATCCAGTCATGAATTTGCAATAAACAAAGATTTCTTAAAAACAACATAAAAAGCGCTAGGTATAAAGGGTAAGGCTGATAAAGTAGACTACATTAAACATAAGAATTTGTGTTCACCAAAGACACCACTGACAGCCTAGGCAACATAGCAAGAACCCATCTCTACAAGAAAAGGAAAATAAAAAACTTTACCAGGTGTGGTGGTAGCTCATGCCTATAGTCTTACCCCACACCCCTCCAAAAAAAGACACCACTGGGATTAAAAATACAAGCTACAGTGTAGGAGACTATATTTCTAACAATATATACAATAAAAGATTCCTATCCAAGATAATTAAACATGTCTACAAATCAATAAAAACACTGGTAATTTTTTAAAAACTGAACAGAAGAATAGGAACTTTACAAAATAAGATACAGGATGAGCATTCATAATCTAAAAGTTGAAAATCCAAAACTTTTGAACACCGACATGATGCCACAAGTGGAAAATGCCATACCTGTTATCTTTGTTTCAGGTCTAAAACTATTAAAAACAGCATATAAAATTACCTTCTGACTACATGTATAAAGTATACATGAAATATAAATGAATTGCGTGTCTAGACTCGGGTCCCTTCTCCAAGACATCTTATTATATATATGCAAATACTTCAAAATCTGAACAAAATCTGAAATATTTTACATAACAGATACTCAAACTGTACTGATATACCCAAATGGCCAGTTAGCTTATAATGAGGTGTTCTTTTTTTTTTTTAATTTTACTTAAAAAAAAAAAACTTTTTTGTGGAGATAGTGTCTCACTTTGTTGCCCAGGCTCTTCTTGGACTCCTGGACTCAAGTGATCCACCTGCCTGGGCTTCTCAAAGTGCTGGGATTACAGGCATGAGCCACCACGCCCAGCCAAGGTGTTCTTAATCATTAGGAAAAAAACAAAATTACACTGAAATGTTAGTAATTGCTCAGCAGAATGGACAAATGAAAAAGGCTGACAAAACCAAGAGTTTTGGTGAAAGATAAAAAGATACAGAAAACCAGCAGTGGCTCACACCTGTAATCCCAACACTTTGGGACATTGAGATGGGTGGATCACTTGAGGTCAGGAGATCAAGACCAGCCTGGCCAACATAGTGAAACCCCATCTCTACTCAAAATACAAAAATGAGCTGGGCATGGTGGCAGGCACCTGTAATCCAGGTACTCGGGAGGCTGAGGTAGGAGAATCGCTTGAACATGGGAGGCAGAGGTTACAGTGAGCCGAGATCGTGCCACTGCACTCCAGCCTGGGCAACAGAGTAAAACTCTGTCTAAAAAAAGAAAAAGAAAAAGACATAGAAAACCTGAAATTGTCACACATCGTTGACAGAAGAGTAAATTTGCATAACTATTTGGAAAGCTGTTTGGCAGTGCCTATTAAAGTTAGCATTTTTTTCTCAGCCATGATCATTCTCAATGATAGACCATATGTTAGGACACAAAACAAGTCTTAAAACATCAAGTATCCTCTCTAACCACAATGGAATAAAGCCAGAAATCAGTAACAACAGGAATTTTGGAAACTATACAAACACATGAAAATTAAACAATATGCTCCTGAATGAAAAGTGAGTCAATGAAGAGGTTAAGAAGGAAATTGAAAATTTTCTTGAAACAAACAACAGAAACACAACATGCCAAAACCTACTGGATATAGCAAAAGCAGTACTAAGAGGAACATTTATAGCTACAAGTACCCATGTCTAAAAGAAGAAAAGCTTTAAATAAACAACCCAATGATACATCTTAAAGAACTGGAAAAGCAAGCACAAACCAAACTCAAAGTTAGCCAGTGAAAAGAAATAATAAAGATCACAGTAGAAAGAAATTTAAAAAAAATACAAATGATCAATGAAACAAAAAGCTGACTTTTTGAAAAGATAAACAAAATTGACAAGCCTTTAGTCAAACTAAGATAAAAATAGAAGACTCAAATAAAATCAGAGATGAAAAAGGAGACATCACAACTGATACCACAGAAAAATCAAAGGATCATTAGTGGCTACTATGAAAAACTATACACCAATAAATTGAAAAACCTAGAAAAAAATGAATAAATTCCTAGACACATACAACCTACAAAGATTGAACCATGAAGAAATCCAAAACCTGAACAGATTAATAACAAGTAATAAGATCAAAGCCATAATAAAAAGCCTCCCAGCAAAGAAAGGACACTCAATGGTTTTACTACTAAATTTTACCATTTATTTATATATATATAATATATATATTATATATAACATATATTGTATATATTAATATATTTATATATAAACATATATCATATATATTTATATATATAAACATATATCATATATATTTATATATGATATATATAAACATATATCATATATATTTATATATGATATATATAAACATATATCATATATATTTATATATGATATATATAAACATATATCATATATATTATATTGATATATATAATATGTATCATATATATTATATTGATATATAATATATATTTATATATTATATGATATATAAATATATATCATATAATATATATAAACATATAAATATATATCATATATATTATATATATAAATATATAATATATATATCATATATAATATATGATATATATAAATATATATATAATATATGATATATATAAATATATATATCATATATTATATAGAAATATATGATATATATATTATGTAGAAATATATGATATATATATTATGTAGAAATATATGATATATATATCATATGTAGAAATATATGATATATATATGTAGAAATATATGATATATATATGTAGAAATATATGATATATATATGTAGAAATATATGATATATATATGTAGAAATATATGATATATATATGTAGAAATATATGATATATATATGTAGAAATATATGATATATATGTAGAAATATATGATATATATGTAGAAATATATGATTGATATATATATGTAGAAATATATGATATATATATGTAGAAATATATGATATATATGTAGAAATATATGATATATATCATATGTAGAAATATATGATATATATCATATGTAGAAATATATGATATATATCATATGTAGAAATATATGATATATATCATATGTAGAAATATATGATATATATTATGTAGAAATATATGATATATATCATATGTAGAAATATATGATATATATTATGTAGAAATATATGATATATATATTATGTAGAAATATATGATATATATATCATATATTATATAGAAAATATGATATATATATCATATATAGAAATATATGATATATATATCATATATATGATATATATCATATATAGAAATATATGATATATATATCATATATATGATATATATCATATATAGAAATATATGATATATATATCATATATAGAAATATATGATATATATATCATATATAGAAATATATGATATATATATCATATATAGAAATATATGATATATATATATCAATCCTAATCAAACTATTCCTAATCAAATGCCAATCCTAATCAAACTATTCCAAAAAACAAATGTGAACAAAATACTTCCAAACTCATTCTACAAGGTCAGGATTACCCTAATACCAAAAGCAAAGACACATCAAAAAATAAAAACTACAGACCAATATATCTGATAAATATTGACACAAAAATCCTCAACAAAATACTAGCAAACCAAATTTAACAACACATTAAAAAGACCATTTGTCATGACCAAGTGGGATTTATTGCAGGAATTCAAGGATGGTTCAAAATATGCAAATCAATCAATGTGCTAAATCACATCAACAGAATGAAAGAGAAAAACCATATGATCAACTGATGCTGAAAAAGCATTTAATAAAATTCAACATCCCTTCATAATAAAAATCTTTAAAAAAACTGGGTACATTAGAAACATACTTCAACACAGTAAAAGCCATATATAACAGATTCACGGCTGGTATCATACTGAATGAGGAAAAATCTGAAAGCCTTTTCTCTAAGATCTGGAACATGACAAGGATGCTCATTTTCACCACTGTTATTCAAAATAGTACTGGAAGTCCTAGCTGGAGCAATTAGACCAGAGATAAAGAAATGGCATCCAAAGTGGAAGGAAAGATGTCAAATTATCCTTGTTCAGTTAATATGACCTTATATTTAGAAAAACCTAAAAACTCCACAAAACAACTATTAAAACTGATAAACTCAGTAAAGTTGGAGGATACTGAATCAAGTTATGAAAATCAGTAGCATTCCTATATGTCAACAGTGAACAATCTGAAAAGGAAATCAAGAAAATAATCCCATTTACAGTACCTACAAATTAAATACCTAGAAATTAATTAAATCAAAGAAGTGAAAGTTCTCTACAAAGAAAACTACAAAACAATGGTGAAAGAAATTGAAGAGGACACTAAATGGAAAGATAGTCCATGGATTGGAAGAATTGATATTGTTAAAACGTCCATACTACCCAAAGCAATCTACTGATTCAATGCAATCCCTATAAAAATACCAATGACATTCTTCACAGAAATAGAAAAAACAATCCTAACATCTGTATGGAACCGCAAAAGACACAGAATAGCCAAAACCATTCTGAGCAAAAAAGAACAAAACTGGAGGAATCACATTAATAACAATAATTTTATATTTAAGAGATTATGAAGAGTTTGTATACCATGTTGAAGAACCTGGACTGCATTCTAGAGATGACAGCAAATCAATGGAGGTATTTAACTGGAAAATAATATGATCAAACAGATTCAGGAAACTGATTCTGGAAGCACTATACAGAATGATGGGTATAAGTGTCGAGGGAGGTGGAGAATGTAAGAGAGAATGAGTATGGAACAGAAAATCTAGATAGGAAGCTTACAGAGAAGTCCTATTAAGAAATGATGAAGGTGCTCCATTCCAAGATGGCCAAATAGGAACAGCTCTGGTCTGCAGCTCCAAGCGTGATCAACACAGAAGATGGGTGGTTTCTGCATTTCCAACTGAGGTACCTGATTCATCTCATTGGGACTGGCTGGAAAGTGGGTGCAGCTGACGGAGGGCGAGCTGAAGCAGGGTGGGGCACTGCCCCACCCAGGAAGCTCAAGGGGTCGGGGGATTCCCCTTTCCTAGCCAAGGGAAGCCTTGACAGACTGTACCGGGAAAATCGGGACACTGCCACCTAAACACTGCACTTGTCCAATGGTCTTAACAAACAGCACACCAGGAGATTATATCCTGCGCATGGCTCAGTGGGTCCCACGCCTACGAAGCCTTACTCACTGCTAATCCCAGATCGAACTGCTAGGCAGCAAGCATGGCTGGGGGAGGGGCGTCCGCCATTGCTGAGGCTTAGGAGGTAAACAAAGTGGCCAGGAAGCTCAAACTGGGTGGAGTCCACCACAGCTCAATGAGGCCCGACTGTCTCTGTAGATTCCACTTCTGGGGACAGGGCATAGCTGAACAAAAGGCAGCAGAAACTTCTGCAGACTTAAACGTCCCTGTCTAAAAGCTCTGAAGAGAGCAGTGGTTCTCCCAGCATGGCGTTTCAGCTCTGAGAACGGACCGACTGCCTACTCAAGTTGGTCCCTGACCGCCAAGTAGACTAACTTGGAGACACCTCCCAATAGGGGCTGACTGACACTTCATACAGCCGGATGCCCCTCTGAGACAAAGCTTCCAGAGGAATGATCAGGCAGCAATATTTGCTATTCTGCAATATTTGCTGTTCTGCAGCCTCCACTGGTGATACCCAGGCAAACAGGGTCTGGAGTGGACCTCCAAAAAACTCCAACAGACCTGCAGCTGAGGGACCTGATTGTTATAAGGAAAACTAACAAACAGAAAGGAATAGCACCAACATCAACAAAAAGGACATCCGCACCAAAACCCCATCTGTAGGTCACCATCATCAAAGACCAAAGGTAGATAAAACCACAAAGATGGGGAGAAACCAGAGCAGAAAGGCTAAAAATTCTAAAAACCAGAGCACTGCATCTCCTCCAAAGGATCGCAGCTCCTTGCCACATCAGAACAAAGCAGGACGGAGAACAACTTTGACAAGGTGACAGAAGTAGGCTTCAGAAAGTCGGTAATAACAAACTTCTCCAAGGTAAAGGAGGATGTTCGAACCCATTGCAAGGAAGCTAAACATCTGGAAAAAAGATTAGATGAATGGCTAACTAGAATAAACAGTGTGGAGAAGACCTGAAATGACCTGATGGAGCTGAAAACCATGGCACGAGAACTATGTGACACACACACAAGCTTCAGTAGCTGATTCGATCAAGTAGAAGAAAGGGTATCAGTGATTGAAGATCAAATGAATGAAATGAAGCGAGAAGAGAGGTTTAGAGAAAAAAAGACTAAAAGGAAACGAACAAACCCTCCAATAAATATGGGACTATGTGAAAAGACCAAATCTGGGCGATTCAAAGATGGCCGAATAGGAACAACTCCAGTCTACAGCTCCCAGTGTGAGCGACACAGAAGACGGGTGATTTCTGCATTTCCAACTGAGGTACCAGGTTCATCTCATTGGGGCTTATCGGACAGTGGGTGCAGGACAGTGGGTGCAGTCCACCGGGTGTGAGCCAAAGCAGGACAAGGCATCGCCTCACCCAGGAAGCGCAAGGGGTCAGAGAAATCCCTTTCCTAGCCAAGGGAAGCTGTGACACACGGCACCTGGAAAATTGGGTCACTCCCACCCTAATACTGCACTTTTCCAATGGTCTTAGCAAACGGACACGAGGAGATTATATCCTGTGCCTGGCTTGGAGGGTCCCACACCCACAGAGCCTCACTCATTGCTAGCACAGCAGTCTGAGATCGAACTGCAAGGTGGCAGTGAGGCTGGAGGAGGGTGCCTGCCATTGCTGAGGCTTGAGTAGGTAAAAACAGTGGCCTCGAAGCTCGAACTGGGTGGAGCCCACCGCAGCTCAAGGAGGCCTGCCTGCCTCTGTAGACTCCACCTCTGTGGGCAATGGAGTATTTAACTCCATTGGGCAGGGCATAGCTGAACAAAAGGCAGCAGAAACCTCTGCAGACTTAAATGTCCCTGTCTGACAGCTTTGAAGAGAGCAGTGGTTCTCCCAGCATGGAGTTTGAGATCTGAGAACTGACAGACTGCCTCCTCAAGTGGGTCCCTGACCCCCGAGTAGCCTAACTGGGAGGGACCCCCCAGTAGGGGCAGACTGACAGCTCACACGGCCTTCTACCCCTCTGAGACAAAGCTTACAGAGGAACAATGAGGCAGCGACATTTGCTATTCAGCAATATTCGCTGTTCTGGAGCATCTGCTGCTGATACCCAGACAAACAGGATCTGGAGTGGACCTCCAGCAAACTCCAACTGACCTGCAGCTCAGGAACCTGACTGTTAGAAGGAAAACTAACAAACAGAAAGGACATCCACACCAAAACCCCATCTGTACGTCACCATCATCAAAGACCAAAGGTAGGTAAAACCACAAAGATGGGGAAAAAACAGAGCAGAAAAGCTGAAAATTCTAAAAATCAGTGTGCCTCTTCCCCTCCAAAGGAATGCAGCTCCTCGCCCGCAATGCAACAAAGCTGGATAGAGAATGACTTTGACAAGTTGAGAGAAGAAGGCTTCAGACAATCAAACTTCTCTGAGCTAAAGGAGGAAGTTCAAACTCATCACAAAGAAGCTAAAAACCTTGAAAAAAGATTAGACGAATGGCTAACTAGAATAACCAGTGTAGAGAAATCCTTAAACGACCTGATGGAGCTGAAAACCATGGCAGGAAAACTATGTGACGAATGCACAAGCTTCAGTAGCCAACTTGAACAACTGGAAGAAAGGGTATCAGTGACTGAAGATCAAATGAATGAAATGAAGCGAGAAGAGAATTTCAGAGAAAAAAGAATAAAAAGAAATGAACAAAGCCTCCAAGAAATATGGGACTATGTGTAAAGACCAATCAGGTACACGTCTGATTGGTATACCTGAAAGTGACGGGGAGAACGGAACCAAGTTGGAAAACACTCTGCAGGATATTATCCAGGAGAACTTCCCCAACCTAGCAAGACACGCCAACATTCAAATTCAGGAAATACAAAGAACACCATAAAGACACTCCTCGAGAAGAGCAACTCCAAGACACATAATTGTCAGATTCACCAAAGTTGAAATGAAGGAAAACATGTTAAGGGCAGCCAGAGAGAAAGGTCGGGTTACCCACAAAGGGAAGCCCGTCAGACTAACAGTGGATCTCTCGGCAGAAACCCCACAAGCGAGAAGAGAGAGGGGGCCAACATTCAACATTCTTAAAGGAAAGAATTTTCCACCCAGAATTTCATATCCAGCCAAACTAAGCTTCATAAGTGAAGGAGAAATAAAATCCTTTACAGACAAGAAAATGCTGAGAGATTTTGTCACCACCAAGCCTGCCCTACAAGAGCTCCTGATGGAAGCAGTAAATACGAAAAGTAACAACCAGTACCAGTCACTGAAAAAGCGTGCCAAATTGTAAAGACCATTGATGCTAGGAGGAAACTGCATCAACTAACGAGCAAAATAACCAGCTAACATCATAATGACAGGATCAAATTCACACATAACAATATTCACCTTAAATGTAAACGGGCTAAATGCCCCAATTAAAAGACACAGACTGGCAACTTGGATAAAGAGTCAAGACCCAACAGTGTGCTGTATTCAGGAGACCCATCTCATGTGCAGGGACACACACAGGCTCAAAATAAAGGGATGAAGGAATATCTACCAAGAAAACAGAAAGCAAAAAAAAAGTAGGGGTTGCAATCTTAGTCTCTGATAAAACAGACTTTAAACCAACAAAGATCAAAAGAGACAAAGAAGACTATTATATAATGGTAAAGGGATCAATTCACCAAGAAGAGCTAAATATCCTAAATGTATATGCACCAAATATAGGAGCACCCAGATTCATAAAGCAAGTCCTTAGAGACCAACAAACAGACTTAGACTCCCACACAGTAATAATGGGAGACTTTAACAGCCCACTGTCAACATTGGACAGATCAGCGAGACAGAAAATTAACAAGGATATCCAGGAACTGAACTCAGCTCTGCACCAAGTGGACCAAATAGACATCTATAGAACTCTCCACACCAAATCAACAGAATATACATTCTTCTCAGCACCACATTGCACTTATTCCAAAATTGACCACAGAGTTGGAAGTAAAGCACTCCTCAGCAAATGTAAAAGAATAGAAATTATAACAAACTGTCTCTCAGAATACAGTGCAATCAAACTAGAACTCAGGATTAAGAAACTCACTCAAAACTGCTCAACTACATGGAAACTGAACAACCTGCTCCTGAATGACTACTGGGTTAATAATTAAATGAAGGCAGAAATAAAGATGTTCTTTGAAACCAGAGAGAACAAAGACACAACATACCAGAATCACTGGGACACATTTAAAGCAGTGTGTAGAGGGAAATTTATAGCACTAAATGCCCACAAAAGAAAACAGGAAAGATCTAAAATTGACACCCTAACCCCACAATTAAAAGAACTAGAGAAAAAAGAGCAAACACATTCAAAAGCTAGCAGAAGGCAAGAAACAACTAAGATCAGAGCAGAACTGAAGGAGATAGAGATACAAAAAACCCTTCAAAAATTCAATGAATCCAGGAGCTGGTTTTTTGAAAAGATCAACAAAATTGATAGACTGCTAGCAAGAATAATAAAGAAGAAAAGAGAGAAGAATCAAATAGATGCAATAAAAAACGATAAAGGGGTTATCACCATCGATCCCAAAGAAATACAAACTACCATCAGAGAATACTATAAACACCTCTATAAAAATAAACTAGAAAATCTAGAAGAAATGGATAAATTCCTGGACACATACATCCTCCCAAGACTAAACCAGGAAGAAGTTGAATCTCTGAATAGACCAATAACAGGCTCTGAAATTGAGGCAATAATTAATAGACTACCAACCAAAAAAAGTCCAGGACCAGATGGGTTCACAGCCGAATTCTATGAGAGGTACAAAGACGAGTGGGTACCATTCCTTCTGAAACTATTCCAATCAATAGAAAAAGAGGGAATCATCCCTAAGTCATTTTATGAGGCCAGCATCATCCCGATACCAAAGCCTGGCAGAGACTCAACAAAAAAGAGAATTTTAGACTAATATCCCTGATGAACACTGATGTGAAAATCCTCAATAAAATACTGGTAAACCAAATCCAGCGGCACATCAAAAAGCTTATCCACCAAGATCAAGTTGGCTTCATCCCTGGGATGCAAGGCTGGTTCAACATATGCAAATCAATAAACGTAATCCATCACATAAACAGAACCAAAGACAAAAACCACATGATTATCTCAACAGACGCAGAAAAGGCCTTTGACAAAATTCAACAGCCCTTCATGCTAAAAACTCTCAATAAACTAAATACTGATGGAAGGTATCTCAAAATAATAAGAGCTATTTATGACAAACCCACAGCCAATATCATACTGAATGGGCAAAAACTGGAAGCATTCCCTTTGAAAACTGGCACAAGACAGGGATGCCCTCTCTAGTCAACATAGTGTTGGAAGTTCTGGCCAGGGCAATCAGGCAAGAGAAAGAAATAAAGGGTATTGAATTAGGAAAAGAGGAAGTCAAATTGTCCCTGTTGCAGACGACATGATTGTATATTTGGAAAACCCCATTGTCTCAGCCCAAAATCTCCTTAAGCTGATAAGCAACTTTGGCAAAGTATCAGGATACAAAATCGATGTGCAAAAATCACAAGCATCCTTCTACACCAATAGCAGACAAACAGAGAGCCAAATCACGAGTGAACTCCCATTCACAATTGCTTCAAAGAGAATAAAATACCTAGGAATACAACTTGTGTACAAGGGATGTGAAGGACCTCTTCAAGGAGAACTACAAACCACTGCTCAATGAAATAAAAGAGGGCACAAACAAATGGAAGAACATTCCATGTTCATGGATAGGAAGAATCCATATCGTGAAAATGGCCATACTGCCCAAGGTAATTTATAGATTCAATGCCATCCTCATCAAGCTACCAATGACTTTCTTCACAGAATTGGAAAAAAAACTACTTTAATGTTCACATGGAACCAAAAAAGAGCCCTCATTGCCAACACAATCCTAAGCCAAAACAACAAAGCTGGAGGCATCATGCTACCTGACTTCAAACTATACTACAAGGCTACAGTAACCAAAACAACATGATACTGGTACCAGAAAAGAGATACAGACCAATGGAACAGAATGGAGGCCTCAGAAATAACACCACACATCTATAATCATCTGATCTTTGACAAACCTGACCAAAAACAAGAAACGGGGAAAGGATTCTCTATGTAATAAATGGTGCTGGGAAAACTGGCTAGCCATATGTAGAAAGCTGAAACTGGAGCCCTTCCTTACACCTTATACAAAAATTAATTCAAGATGGATTAAAGACTTAAATGTTGACCTAAAAACCATAAAAACCCTAGAAGAAAACCTAGGCAATACCATTCAGGACATAGGCATGGGCAAGGACTTCATGACTAAAACACCAAAAGCAATGGCAACAAAAGCCAAAATTGACAAATGGGATCTAATTAAACTAAAGAGCTTCTGCACAGCAAAAGAAACTACCATCAGAGTGAACAGGCAACCTACAGAATGGGAGAATATTTTTGCAATCTACCCATCTGACAAAGGGCTAATATCCACAATCTACAAAGAACTCAAACAAATTTACAAGTAAAAATCAACCGCATCAAAAAGTGGGTGAAGGATATGAACAGACACTTCTCAAAAGAAGACATTTATGCAGCCAACAGACACATGAAAAAATGCTCATCATCACTGGCCATCAGAGAAATGCAAATCAAAACCACAATGAGATACAATCTCACACCAGTTAAAATGGCGATCATTAAAAAGTCAGGAAACAACAGGTGCTGGAGAGGATGTGGAGAAATAGGAACACTTTTACACTGTTGGTGGGACTGTAAACTAGTTCAACCATTGTGGAAGTCAGTGTGGTGATTCCTCAAGGATCTAGAACTAGAAATACCATTTGACCCAGCCATCCCATTACTGGGTATATATCCAACGGATTATAAAGCATGCTACTATAAAGATACATGCACACATATGTTTATTGTGGCACTATTCACAATAGCAAAGACTTGGAACCAACCCAAATGTCCATCAATGATAGACTGGATTAAGAAAATGTGGCACACATACGCCATGGAATACTACACAGCCATAAAAAAGGATGAGTTCATGTCCTTTGTAGGGACATGGATGAAGCTGGAAACCATCATTCTCAGCAAACTATCGCAAGGACAGAAAACCAAATACCGCATGTTCTCACTCATAGGTGGGAATTGAACAATGAGCACGCCTGGATGCAGGGTGGGGAACAACATACACCCGGGCCTGTTGTGGGGTAGGGGGAGCAGGGAGGGAGAGCACTAGGAGAAATACCTCATGGAAATGATGAGTTAATGGGTGCAGCAAACCAACACAGCACATGTATACATATGTAACAAACCTGCACGTCGTGCATGTGTACCCTAGAACTTAAAGTATAATAATAAAAAAAAATGATGAAGGTCTGTGGAAGCAGAGCTTGAAGGGAATGAGTAGACTTGCAAAGTATTTAGGAAGTACAATTGATGAGACTCAATCTTTTCAAGGAGTGAAGGAAAGGTAGAAGCCTTTGGCAACTTCCAGGTTAAGAATCTGAAGGAATATTTGGGAGTACAGGAGAACCATTTTAAAGTATTTTGATTTGAAGTATCAATGGGATCTACTAGAGGGGTACAGTGGGTAGTTGGCTGTAAGCAATACACAAAACAATTTTTTTAAATCCCTTCTCTCATGAAGTTTACATTATTGGGGAAGGGAGAAAAGATAATTAAGCTGAATAACTAGATTATGACTTAGAGGTGATAAGTGCTACAGAAAAAAAAAAAAGCAGGATTGGGAAATAAGAAGTGTGAGAGGAAACATTTATAATTTTAAACATCATGGCCAGGAGACTGGCTGAGACTGTAACACGAGCAGAGACATGAGGGAGACAGAATGAGCTATGAAGATAACTAAGGGGGGAGTATTCTAGGCAGACAGAACTGGAAAGACAAAGGCTCTAAGGTCAATGCTTGCTTGGCACTGACATACTTAAAGAATATAAAAGAAACTAGGGTAGCTGGAGTGAACTAAAAGAAAGGGGCAGAAGAGAAAGCAGGAAATACAGTCATATATATAACTAAGGGGGCAGATCCACTGGGGCCCTAGAGACCATTTTCTAGACTTCTGCTTCTACTCTGGGTTAGATGATAGCCATTGGAGGGTTTTAGGCAAAAGAATGACATCTGGTGTTTCATTCTGGAACATTTCTCTGGATGTTAGTTGGGGGAAAAATGGAAGGGGCAAGGGAGGGAGGAGAGAAACCAGTTAGGAGATTACTGCAGCCATCACATAAATGATGATGATGGCTTATATGAGGGTGAGAACAGTTGAGGTGGTAAGTGGTCAGATTTAGATTTATTTTGAAAGTAGAGCTGACAGAACCTGCTAAACATTTGATTGGAGTTATAGTATGAGAAATTCCAGATGTCTTTTGCCTAAACCATTGAGATAAATACCAAGAAAGGAATCATTTTGCTGATACAATATGGAATTTTGTTTGGGAGCTATTGAGTTTGAGGTGCTTATTAGACATCAAAACAGAGATAAAGTTTAGTTAAAAGTGTGGAGTTCAAGGAAGCAATATGCATTGAAGGAAGTTCAAGGAAGCAATATGCAAGTCTGGAAGTCAATGGTGATAATGGCGAGAGGGGACAGTGGCAGGATTGGGTATAAACAGAAAAGAAGAGGTCAGAAATTAAGTTTGGGGGCATCACCAGTGTTAGAAACACAGAAAGATGAAGAGGAACCAGTAAAAATCATTGATAAAAGTTACTGGTGAGTCAGAAGAAAAAACCCACCTTAGCGCAGTGTTCTAGAGGTGGAGAAAATAAACTCAAAGTGAAGGCAGTAATCATCTCTGAGAATAGACTACTGAATTCCACTTAGAAATATTTTTAAATTTCCTTTTTTATCTTTACTTCAAAATAATTTCTTTAAAATGTGACTAAAAACATAGCATGATATGACATCATAAACAGTATTTTCTCTTAAAATGAAGAATGTTTCATGCTCAGTCAGTACAACATATAAATCAAGAAATAATAAGACTTAGTTGCTCCACCAATCTTAAATGAATAAAAGGACTTTTCAAATTAGATTAACTTCATATATCTAGGATGCTGTTGTCAAATGAAATATGAAACGTTAAAGATGTGTAGGCCTGAATGAACGATAAAGAGTAAGAATACTATGGGAAAATATATTCCACTTAAGTAAGTTATAACTATATAGTAAGTCATTGTGATCATCACTGTTCTACATTTACAGTCTGACCACCTAATGAGAAATGATGCAGGAGTTTGTAAAAAAAAAAAAAAAAAAAACTTAAATCTCTTCTCAAATGAAGTTTGCATTACAGTAGAAAGGGGAGAGAAAAGAATAAAATTAAATCAGTAGAATAATGCAGTATTATAAATTATCTACTACAATCATTCTACTATATAATACTACTATAATCATGGTTCCAAAGTTTCATAAACACAGTTGGAATCACAATCTCTACCATACTTATGACAAGAGAAACCTAAACCTAATCCATTATTTTAGTTCTCTATAGCTGTATAACAAATTACCCTACAACTTAGAGCCTGGAAATCACAAATATGATGTCATAGTTTTTATGGATCAGGAATCTGGAAGTGGCTTAATTAGTCTGGCTTAGGATCTCATGTGAGACTACAATTAAAACACGTTAGCCAGGCTGCTGTCATTTCAAGACTTGGCTGAAGTAAAGTCTGCTCTTAAATTCACTCACATGGGCCTCTCCATAGCTTGCCTCACAACGTGGTAGCTGGATTCCCCCAGAGTGATTTATCCAAAAGACACAAACAGAAAGAGAGAGAAAGAAAGAAAAAACGGGCATCCAAGATGGAAATTCCAGTCTTTATAACTTAATCTCAAAGATGACAACCCACATCATTTTTACTGCATTCTATTCACTAGAGGCAAGTCATTACATCAAGCCCACACTCAAGTGGAGGGTATTTCATGGGAGTGTTAAGTATCTGAAGTCAACAAGGATAATTGGAGGCCATTTCAGAGGCTGCCTAACACACCCACCTTTCTCAGCTACGTACATATTTAAAATTTCTTGATTCTTAGGAAGGTAGGCTGTTTTGTTGTTTTTACTTTAAGTGTATTAATTTTTTGGTAATATCCTATAGTGGCTAGCAGTTTTTCCCCCACAAACCCAGAACTCAATCCATTCACCAACACCTGGACAAAAATTGCTCAAATCCAAACACATTTAGAAATAATTTATTTCCTTTTTCTCTGAATAGAACATGTCCAAGTGAAAATTACATTGAAGACATTCCAAGAGACAAACATGTTATGAGATTGTACCAGCTTATTGTATCAAGAAATAGGAGAAGCTGATTAATGATAGAAAATTAAAAAGTTGGCATAGAAAATGGGTAAATGTTACCTACGAATTCTCCACTATGGAAAATGTTAAGATTTCCCACTTGGTATCAGGTCTATTACTAACAAATAGGTTCAGTAATATCCATCATGCATACATAAATCATTAGCGTAAATGTATGTCTTTCACTTGCAGCTCTATGAATTGTTTTGGTAAACTGTACTATAACTAGAAATTTATCTCTAGATGTTTTTAAGTTTCACCAATATAGAGACAGAGGGATTTAGAGATTCTAGAATTTCACTTGTAAATTGACCTTACCTCCTTACCTGCTTTGCTGTATGGCTCTCTGCTTCCATTCCCAACCAGCCTACAGACTACAGAGTAATGTACTGCTTAGGCTGGACACACTTTCTGCTAAAAGACTGACTAGCAGCTCTTTAAAAAAATGTGAAGAATCACTGAGATCTATTTGAGGTTTTCTTCTCATCTTCTTTTCCCCTTAACTACTTTTTAATGAATCAATAGGAAAATGCAAAGCACTGAAAAGAAGAGAGCTACAAAGAGATTCTGGCTATCTGAAACATCTTATGTTAGGAATATGTATTCACATTTCCTTCTTTATGTTTCTAGACTCTATGCCCCATATCTAAGGAGTAATCTCTTTATTGTATTTGACTAGTCAGGGCATACCACATAGACTTAAATAATGCTTTCCAGAATGAATAATAATCATTTAAAATTAATCACATACATTTATCCAGAGTTAACAGACCAGTTATTTCTTTTCAAATACTTTGAGGTTGAAAGGGTCAAATATAGCTTAAGAAAAAAATGTCATAACAAGTGGAAATGTAATTTGTCTAAGATCATTAAGTGGGTCAGAGAGGAGCTACAAGCATTTTATCCAAAATGACAAGGGAATAAACAAGTAGGAGGGGTGATAAGTCTGAGTGCAAAGAACAGTCCTTTTAACAAATTGAATTTGTCAAAGTTCAAGGCTGTTTAAACAAATGTGGTTTTGAAACAACTGGATCTCCAAATGCCACTGCTCCCCCAAATAAACCTTGAACCTTACATAAAAATTAACTTAAACTGGATCACAGTTATAAGACTATACAACTTATAGAATAAATACAGGAGAAAATCTTTATAAGCTGTGGATAAGCTAAGAATTCAGTCATGATATCAAAAGCATAATCTATAAAAGATCAATAAACTTGGACTTCAAAATTTGAAACTTTTGCTGTGTGAAGATACAACTAAGAAATGAAAAGACAAACTATAGGCAAAGAGAAAATATCTGCAAATCAAATATCTGGCAAAGGACTAATACCCAGAATATAGGAAAAACTCTCCAATCTCAACAAATAAACTAATTTTAAAACGAGACACTTCACTAGAGAGGATATACAAAGGAAAAATCAGCTGGGTACAATAGCTCATGCCTATAATCTCAGCACTTTGGGAAGCCAAGGCGGGAGGATCACTTGAGGCCAGGAGTTTGAAATCAGCTTGGGCAATATACTGAGACTCTGTCTCTACCAAACAAAAAAAAAAAATTAGCAGGGCATGGTCATATGTGCCTATAATCCTAGCTGCTCAGGGGGCTGAGGCAAGAGGATTCCTTTAGCCCAGGAGTTTGAGATGGCAGTGAGCAATGATCGCTGATTCAATGCAATCCCTATAAAAATACCAATACCACTGCATTCCGGCCTGGGTGACAGAGTGAGACCCTGTCTCTTAAAAAAATAAAAAATGAGTCATGAAAAGATGCTCAACATCACTAGCTACTAGTGAAATTAAATTAAAACAATAGTGAGAGACACACCTATCAGAATAGATAAAATAAAATATACTGACAATGATGAGTACTTTGAGAATGAAGAACAACTGGTACTCTCATATATTACTGGTGGGAATGTAAAATGTGACAACTTTGGAAAACAATCTGGCAGTTTCATAAAGTAAAACATACACTTACAGTATGATCTAGTGATTCCACTCCTATTCACCCAAGAGAAATAAAAAGATATATCTACATAATACATACACACGGTATTTGTGATTGTTAGCATTCTCCAGAGAAACAGAACCAACAGGATGTCTATATACAGAAAGAGACTTATTACAGGATTTGGCTCATGCAATTATGGACACTAAGAAGTCACAAGATCTGCAGTTGGCAACTTTGACACCCAGGAGAGCCAATGATGTAGTTCCAGTCCAACTCCAAAGGCCCAAGAACCAGGAGAGTCTATGGTAAAAGATTCAGTCTGACAGCCAGCAGGTTCAAGACTCAGTCAGAGCCAAATGTTTCCATTTGAGTTGGAATGCAGGAAAAAACCAATGTCCCAGCTCCATAAGTCAAGCAGGAGTTTCTTCTTACAGGAAAGTCAGTCTTTTTTGGTCTGTTAGGCCTTCAACTAATTGGATGAGGGCCACCTACACATGGGGAGGGCAATATACTTTACTCAATCTATTAATTCAAAATGTTAATACTACCCAAAAACACCAGATTAATATCTGACTAAATATTTGGCAGCTCAATCAAGTAGACAAAATTAACCATCACAACTGCTTTATTCGAAATAGATCAAAATTCGGAGCAATCCAAAAGTTTCCCAACAGGTAGATAAACAAATTGTGGGATGTCCATCAAATGGAGTACTACTCAGGATAAAAATAAATTAACTGGGTGATGTTAGAAAATGGCAGAACAGGCTGGGTGTGGCGGCCCACGCCTGTAATCCCAGCACTTTGGGAGGCCAAGGCAGATGGATCACCTGAGGTCAGGAGTTCAAGACCAGCCTGGCGAACATGGCGAAACCCTGTCTCTACTAAAAATACAAAAATTAGCTGGGCATGGTGGCACGTGCCTGTATTCCCAGCTACTCGGGAGGCTGAGGCAGGAGAATCGCTTGAACCCAGGAGGCGGAGGTTGCAGTGAGCCAAGATCGCGCCACTACACTCCAGCCTGGAGACAGAGCGAGACTCCATCTCAAAAAAAAAGAAAAAAGAAAAAGAAAATGTCAGACTAAGTGCTTGTTCCCTTATAGAAACACTGAAATATAAGAAGAAACTATTAGAATCAACATTGTCAGAACTCTAAAAACCAAGCAAATGCTAAACCAAGAAAAAGGCAACTTGAAAATACAAAGTTTTGTGGTGTTTTTATTTGCCCTTGTCCTAGGCCTTCCCCAGCAAGGCAACAGTCTTAAAGCAGTGGTAGCAGTCAGGCAGCAAGCTGTGTTCCCAGTATGGGACCCTGGTCCCTGGTTCTGAGGGGAGCAGAAGAGACTTCATTCACAAATTATTGTATGTGTCTTTTCTAACTTGTCTATTTGGATACCTGAAACGCTGCCACAAGACACTTTTGTCTGTTTTGCCTAATTTGGACATAGGCTGAAAAAGTGGCTGGCATTGTTCAAGAACACTGCAAGATGAACTTAAAAACCACAGTCGCCTGAGCAAAAGATTATGGGGTCAAAACATGTAACAGGCCATTCAAGGTCCAGAAGCAAAAACCTGAGAAAGATTCCATGGGAAATTAGGACATTTAAAAGCACCTAGGTATACAAGGGAATTTAGAAAGCCATATACATGCTAAGAAAAGGCCAGAGAAGACCCTCAGTTTTCACTTTGGGCTGATCCCTAGGTCCACTGTGAGCCTAACTAGGTGTTGAAGCAGTGGCCAGCACATGGCCAATCTACAAAGAAAGGGAGTGCTATTTACTTTTCTTGGGTGTCGTTTTACTGTTTTTTAGTTTATGGCATTCAATGAAATCTGTTAAAATTATAGATGAACCCAAGCTGAAGAAACAGAGCCACTTCAGTGACCATCTACAACAAGGAATGCAGTCTTTGCAAAAATAGTTTGAAAAGTGAAGAGACCTTAATCATTTTGGTCTATTAGCAGGACTGAATTGCCATTTACCAAGAAGGAGAAGTCTGAGGTGGGAAGCAGAGTCTAAGCCTTTTTTTTGCACATGTTGAGTTTGAGATTCCTATTGAACACCAAAATGAAAACGTTGGATAGACAGTGGATATGTGAATCCTGAGTACCAAGAAAGGTTCTAACCAGAAATATAAATTTCTGAGTCATCAGTACGAAGAGAATATTTAACGCTACAAGGCTGGATAAAACCTAGGGTATAAGGAGAGGTCTGGGTACTCTAAATTTTAGAGATCATAGAATGTATGTTTCAAGGTAAATAACTAGGTTTCTATTTGGAGAAATCCCCAATATAAGTATTTGAGTAAGAGCAAGGGCTGGGTGTTGTCTCCTTTGAGTCTCCCCATAGCCTGCTATCACAGTGTCTAACTCTAACCAGAGATCTCCACTGCAATGGCTCTGCCATAGTTTCAAGAGCATATGGTCTTTCAACGAACCCTCTCTTTGGAAATTTCAAATCAAGCTGAAAAACTGACAATATATGAAATAATAACTTATTTATACTTATATCTTAACAGGTTGGGCAAAGATTTCCCATTTTGGTTGTCATTTTCTGCTAAATATGCATTTGTGGCATTATTTCTACGGTTTTATAGCAGTAAAACTCTTTAGAAATATTTGCTTCACTGATAGCAATAAATGCTACTCCACAATAAGCTATAATTTTAACTCTTTTTAATTTCTAGAGGAACATTAGTGTTAGTTAAATGAGCCTAAAATTTTAATAAAATTTAGAAGAACATTACTTAAGTACAGATTAATGAAAACATTTTAAGCCAACATTCTGATATGACTATTTCAAGTTTTACAATTAACCAGAACAATGTCCAAAGGAAATAACTTCTGTAATCTTTTTAATCACACTGCAGGATTAGTTGCTAGATTTATGGTGCTTATCTAAATGACAGTTTTCCATGGATAAAATATTTTTAAACTTTTGTTTTGTATATTAAATTTCAGTAATCCTTTGCTTATGAAAAAGCCATAACATAATATTTACATTGTTTATTTAGAATCTGGACATTTTCCATGGAAATTAGACATACAGTAGTTAGACCTCTAGGTCTTGAAGAAACTAAAAGATATTGCTATATTAACGATGCTATGATTTTTTACACTATTTATAAAAAGTTTCTAGGAAGAAAGTATTCAGAGCATGGCCTTGGGTATACCAGGTACCCATGGCTTAGGTATCAGAGACTAACCTTCTTTTTATTGTCTCCCTCCCACCTTTCCAGAAATTGTATCAACTCATTCGTAAACCACTGATGCTAGCTCCAAGAGTCTGCAATAACCCTCACTACATCAGAATCACCTGAAGAGTTTGTTGTTTTTTCTTAAACAAATCTGGGCCCCATCTTCAGAGATTCTAATTCAAATACTTGGTGTGCAGCCTGGGCATCAGTATTTTAAAAGCTCTCCAATTAGTCTAATCAAGAGCTAGCATTCAAAGTCCCAGGTCTGGAGTACATCCAGATCTAATGCTGAGGGATGAGGGCTAGGAAAACCTATAACGCAAATCTAGCTCCTCTATTTACTAGCTTTGTGACACAGGGCAATTTTTGTTACCTAAGTTTCAGTTCCTTTGTTTGTAAAATGTGGTTAATATTATCTTCAATGTCATTTCAAGGATTTGATAAAATAATGTCTATATATAGAAAACATTCAAAAAGTATATTACTCATCTCAGAAAGTTTGTAATATAGTACCCCAACATTATATTCTTTAAAATTAGACCCATTAAAATACATTATATTCTCTAATATTACATCTCATTACAATTGAGAGAAGCAGCAAAGTCTTCTACAGAAAATAAAAAAGCTCTTTCCAGTCTGCTTTATTTTAAGCAAGTAATTTTAGTCATCTAATTTTCTCTTCTTGGTAATTGGCCACAGCAGGGATTTTAATTTGATTTAAAGAAAAAGCTACCAAACACTCCTCCAACTGATCCCTATACCTAGCCAGTTATTTTTCCAACATCAAAAAGAGTGAGGTGGGTGGGGCGGTGCATTCAACTCAGCCAGTGCAGCACCAAAGCAACCACCAGCACAATGTCTCAGGTGTCAGGGGGAATTTGGTCCTTTCTGAGTCCCATTTCTAAGAAGAGACAGTTCCCTGTTACCATTTTAGTGTATTTCTTTCTAATGTTTTATTTATTATAAAATAATATACCCTTATTTTAAAAACTCAAATAATATAGACATAAGTTAAATTCAAAGTCCTCTATTTTTGGAGTGTGCCTCTCCTACACCTAATCCCAACATCATTTCCACAATAACCAATACTAATGGTTTAAATATATATATACTTCCAAGCTTTTGTCTGTACACTATATGAGTATCTTTTTTCCTAAAAGATATGAATATATAACCAACATTTTTCCTCACATATACTGCTCTATAATTTGCTTTTTATTTAATATATACTAGACAATCTTTAACTTCAATAAAAATTCATTTATTCAATGGATACTGTGCATTTTTTATGTTTGGCATAATGAAAATTCATTAGGTAAATAAACAAATGTATTTGTACGTATAGGGTGCACTGTTAGGCACTGGGTATACAGAGATAAAGAGAACAGTGCTCATTTTCATGGAATTTACAGATTAGCACAGAAAACAATAATGGCTGAATTATAAACACAAAAGGTCACTGAAGGTAAGCTACATAGTACTGTCATAACAAATACCAGGGACCTATTTCTATAGGACTGCTGGGGAAAGCCTCTCGGATGAAGAGCCAGGGATGAACAATCGAGATAGCAGAAGCAGCATAAGCAAAGATCTCAGGTAGGAAACAGGTTAGTACTTCAGCAAATGGGCAAATAGAAAAGAGGTGCTGTCAGAGACAGAGCGAGGGATTGGCTCTTATTCTAAATGCGATCAGAACCACTGGAAGGCTGACCACTGAAGAGATACAATGATTCCGTATGCATTTTAAAAAGCTCATGGCTCCTGTTGTATGGAGAGAATAAAAGAAAAGGGGAAATTAAAATGCCATGCACTACTCATTTCCTCTTTTCTTCTCTTTTTTCATTTAGGCTAGCGTTACACAGTTTTCCCCCCAAGAATCAAATCAGTAAGAAAAGAAGTAGAGAGAAAGAAATTGAAAGTCAAGGTATATTATGGAGATAGAAATAATGGGGTTTATTATCATATACGTAGAGAAGAAGGAAAATAAATTACAAATAGTTAAGAAAAGGCCGGGCACTGTGACTCACACCTATAATCCCAGCATTTTGGGAGGCCGAGGTAGGCGGATCACAAGGTTAGGAGATTGAGATCATCCTGGCTAACACGGTGAAACCCCATCTCTACTAAAAATACAAAAAATTAGCCAGGCGTGGTGGTAGGCGTCTGTAGTTCCAGCTACTTGGGAGGCTGAGGCAGGAGAATGGCATGAACCCAGGAGGCGGAGCTTGCAGTGAGCCGAGATAGCGCCACTGCACTCCAGCCTGGGCGACAGAGCGAGACTCTGTCAAAAAAAAAAAAAAGTTAAGAAAAAATCCTGCATGCAGCCTTGCAAATAAGAGATCAACAATACGGCCAGATGCAGTGGCTCATGCCTGTAATCACAGCACTTTGGCAGGCCAAGGTGGGAGGATCACCTGAGGTCAGGAGTTCGAGACCAGCCTGGCCAACATGGTGAAACCCCATCTCTACTAAAAACACAAAAATTAGCCGGGTGTGATGCTCAGGAGGCTGAGGCAGGAGAATTGTTTGAACTGGGGAGGTGGAGGCTGCAGTGAGCCGAGATCGCACCACTGCACCCCAGCCTGGGGTACAAAGCAAGACTCAGTCCCCTCCGCCCCCGCCAAAAAGGAGATCTACAATACTTGATGACAGAATAAGTGGCTAAATAAACTGACGTACCATGTTGGTCCTATTCTACAGGACCAATGCCTGACATTCTGAGACTTTGCCCAGTCTCTCTAGGTTGGAACACCCTTCTTCCCATTATGCCCCTACTGTCTTTCAATATTTCAATCTTATAGATGTAATTTCTCTTCCTGACCACACCTCCTGAACTGTTCTCACCAATCTCAAACTTTCAAGAAGGCCTGTAATACTCACTGTCTTTACTACTTGTTAGGGAGTAGACAGAATCTTTTATTGCCCTATATCACCTCTCATGTGTGAACCTTTCTTCCTCTGCAAAGTCTGTAAGCACTTAAAGGTCTGGGACCATATTTTATATGTGCATTCTCCACACTCCACTCTACCTCTTTCTCCCACTGCCTATCTTGACACCTTAAAGGAGTAGGAGCTCAACAAATAATCGCTGTTCACAAAGTCTTTTTTGCTGCACACATCAACATCTCAGAGCCTTACTGCTAAGGACTATGCCTCTTCATTAAATATTAAATAGACTTTGTAAGTGGCACTGATTAAACTGCTAAAAAACACTCCATACCTAGTCTGTTTAAACAGAAACTAACAGCTGGCAACTCTTGCCAGACAGTTGTAATTTAGGCTTTTTATTGTAGATGTAAAAGTTTAAATCAGTTGACTTTTCCAAATGAATGTAATCACTAGAACATTTTTCTATTGAAAAGATAAAAGAACATGGGAAAGTAACAGTAGTACATATAAATATAAAAACACTGTATTAAAATAATACTAAATGTGAGAATCCAAATGCTTTTCATTTGGAAATATGAATATTGAGATAAATATCGAGTTATTTATCTCCTACAGAATGCCTGCCCTTTCATGACATACTTGGCATACCACCATAATTCATTAAGAAAATCATGCTATACAGGTTTAATAAAATTATAAGAAACCTGAGTTCTCATCCTTACTTTCTTTTAATGGTATACAACAATGATGATAACAGGTAACATTTATTGATCTCTTAGAGTGCTCCAGGCACTGTGCTATGTGCTCTTTATATATCTTATCTAATTGAACTCTCACATCAGGCCTATAAAGTCACACTTTCTCCCTGGGTAATCTTGGGCCCTTCTATGTCTCTAAACATCGCTGACAAACAATTGCATAACCTCACTCTGCAATCCTACTCTGTCTTTGGAAATCTACAACCATACTGCCAACTGTTTACAGATATCTTCACCTGAATATCCAGAAATAAAGTCATTTTTTGTTGTCCCACTTTCATCCCCATTTTTTGACATATACATACTTGTTCTTCAAAATCTTTTCCCATTCTTAGGCTTTACATCTTAGTTAACACAACTAATGTCCACTGGCTTTCTTGAGGGAGAAACAGCACAACTTTGACATCACACCAGTTTTGAAATCTTACTGCCATCACTCTATAGCTGTGAATGGGTAAGGTACTTAATATCTCTATGTCAGAGTTTCCTTTACTGAAAAGCTGAAGATACTAACAATACTTATCTCACAGGATGACTGTGAGAAGTAAAAGAGAATATAGAAAAATGTTTAAAATGGTGTCTAATACATTGTAACTGCTTGATAAATTTACATGTGAAATATTTTATAATTTTGACTTATCTTTTTCCCTTACCAACTACATGCAGTAAGTTGCTGACTCTCACTAATTCTATCTCAAAAAGCATTTCTGTATGAAACCTCTGCCATCCTCCTGGACCAGGTCTTCACTACTTGTCATCTTCACAGGTCTCTCAGTCCTGCCACTCAGTCCAATATCAATGCTACGGAAGCAGATGTATCTTTCTATTGCTTTAAGTCTTTTTTTGTGGTTCCCTGCAGACTCCTCACTGCCATTAAAAAAAAGCAACTTTCTAAGTTAGGACCAATAGCCTTTTCTAGACCTGTATTAGACAGTTTTACCTCCAAGGCCCTGTGGTTGGGAGGCAGCACAGGGCAGACAATGCAGGGCCTGACCAACAATAGTAGTAATTTGGGTCTTTGTTCTGAATATCATAGGAAGTCATTAAAGGACTTTAAGCAGGGCAATGGCATGATCAAATCTGAATTTTAAAAAGGTCATTTTGGCTACAATCTCTAGAACAGACTAAGGGAGCCTAAAGATGGAGGTGTAGATTCTACTACTGTTGTACTGGTGAGTAATGACAGATCAGAATGAAAGCAATAGAAGTAAAGTGATTAAAGAACTATTTAGTAAAACTATAGAGAACCAGATGGTGAGTTCATATGGATTTCTCATGTGTGCAATAAACTGATGAACACTGGAAAAAGACCATGCTGGGGGTGCAGAGGAGGATAGAAGTCTTGTTTTGAAAGTCCAGGGTTGAGTTGCCTTGAGACAATCTGAAAGAGATGTTAATTAAGAAGATTTCTATTTCCAGTCATTCCAGGCTGAGCTATTTATATCTCCTTGCTGAAATTACCTAAAATTACTGGATAAAATATTATAAAACTTCAGCTTCTGAAAAGTATCAAATAGTTAATAGGATGGCAAGGAATTATTAAGCCAAATTTTGAAAAAAGGCAAAAACCCAGAAAAAGAAGCCAAGTAACCAAAACTGCTTTTTCCCCAAGTGCAATTGCTAATCCAGGCAAAACCACAGTTTTAACAGCTCTTTTAGCCAAGGGGACAGATATGAAAGCTCACTCAAGTGGAGAGTCTTATAGGAGGTCCCATCATATTCAACTTAGGGCCTCAATGGCTACAATCCAGAGATAGGAGAACTAGAAGTAAACTGCCCCCTCACATTAATTACCCCAAGGGATTGAGGAGATGGTCTATTGCTAAAGAGGGATGTCCCTAAAGGGTGTAATCATTAATGGCCTTTGTGTAAATTTGATGCCCAATGTACTTAATGCATCACTGGCATAGTACAAAAAAAAGAACAAAATTTTAGGTTTTTAGGCTGTGAATCCATCAGGTCCTGGGCTTTTTTTGATCGATAGGCTAATATTACTGATTCAATTTTGGAGCTTGTTATTTGTGTGTTCAGGGAATCAATTTCTTCCTGGCTCGGTCTTAAAAGGATGTATGTGGAATTTGCCCATCTCTTTTAGGTTTTCTAGTTTGTGTGCACAGAAGTGTTTGTAGTAGCTTTTAATGGTTGTTTCTATTTCTGTGGGGTAGTGGTAACATTCCCTTCATCATTCCCAATTACATTTATCTAAATCTTCTCTCTTTTCTTAATTAGTCTATCAAGTGGCCTATTATTTAAAACAAACAAACAAACAAACAACTCCTGGGCTGGGCGAGTTGGCTCATGCCTGTGATCCCAGCACTTTGGGAGGCTGAGGCGTGCGGATCACCTGAGGTCAGGAGTTCGAGACCAGCCTAGCCAACATGGTGAAACCCTGTCTCTACTACTAATAAAAAATTAGCCAGACATGGTGGCACGTGCCTGTAGTCCCAGCTACTCAGGAGGCTGAGGCAGGAGAATAGCTGGAACCTGGCAGATGGAGGTTGCAGTGAGCTGAGATCACGCCACTTCACACAAGCCTGAGTGACAAAGACAGACTCCATCTCAAAACAAAACAAAACTCCTGGATTCACTGATCTTTTGAATTGTTTTTCACATCTCGATTTCCTTCAGTTCAGTTCTGATTTTTGTTATCTCTCATCTGCTAGCTTTGAGGCTGATTTGTTCTTGCTTCTCTGATTCTTTCAGTTGTGAAGTTATGTTGTTAATTTGGGATCTTTCTAACTTTTTGATGTGGGAATTTAGTGCTATGAATTTCCCTCTTAACACTGCCTTAGCTGTGTCTCAGAGATTCTGGTATGTTGTATATTTGTTCTCAGTATTTTCAAAAAACTACCTTATATTCACCTTAATTTCATTATTTACCCAAAAGTTATTCAGGAGCATGTTGTTTAATTTCCATTTAATTGCATGGTTTTGAGTGATTTTTATAGTCTTGACTTCTATTTTTACTGCACTATGATTGAAGAGTATATTTGGTATGATTTTGGCTCTTTATATTGGTTGAGGACTATTTTATGTCCAATTATGTGGTGGATTGTACAGTATGTGTCATGTGGCGATAAGAAGAATGTATATTCTGTTGTTTTTTTTTGGTGGAGAGTTTCGTAAAGGTATATCAGATGCAATTGGTCCAATGTAGAGTTTAGGTCTTGAATATCTTTGTTAATTTTCTGCCTCAATGATCTGTCTAATACTGTCAGTGGAGTGTTGAAGTCTCCCACTATTATTGTGTAAAACTCTGTGTCTCTTTGTAGGTCTCAAATAGCTTGGCTTTATGAATCCAGGTGCTCCTATGCTGGGTGCATATATATTTAAGATAATTAAGTCTTCTTGTCGAATTGAACCCTTTATGATGATATAATGCCCTTGACTTTTTAAATCTTTGTTGTTTTGAAATGTTTTATCTGAAATTAAAAATCACAACATCTGCTTTTTGTTTTCTATTTGCTTGGTGAATTTTCCTCCATCCCTTTATTTTGAGCCTATGAGTGTCACTATGTTTGAGATGGGTCTCTTGAAGACAGCATACCATTGGGTCTTGCTTTTTTATCCAGCTTGCCACTCTGCCTTTTAAGTGGAGGATTTAGACTGTTTACATTCAAGGTTAGTATTGATATGTGTGGATTTGATCCTGTCACTGTGCTGTTAACTGGTTATTATGTTGGCTTGTTTGTGTGCTCCTTTACAATGACACTGGTCTGTGTGTTTTTGTATTAGCTAGTAGCAGTCTTTCCTTTCTACATTTAGTGCTCCTTTCAAGATCTCTTGTAAGGCAGGTCTGGTGGCAATGAATACCCTCAATGTTTGTTTATCTGAAAAGGATCTTATTTATCCTTCACTTAGGAAGCTTAGTTTGGCTGGTATAATGGTTAATGTTGAGTGTGAACTTGATTGGATTGAAGGATGCAAAGTATTGTTCCTAGGTGTGTCTGTGAGGGTGTTGCCAAAGGAGATTAACATTTGAGTTAGTGGACTGGGAGAGGCAGACCCATCCTCAATTGGGGTGGGCACCATCTAATCAGCTGCCAGCACGGCCAAAATAAAAAGCAGGCAGAAGAACATGGAAACATTAGACTGGCTTACCCTCCCAGCCTCCATCATTCTCCCATGCTGGATGCTTTCTGCCCTTGAACGTCGGAATCCAGGTTCTTCAGCTTTGGGACTCAGACTGGCTTCCTTGCTCCTCAGCCCGCGGATGATCTACTGTGGGACCTTGTGATCATGTGAGTTAATACTCCTTAATAAACTCCCTTTTATACATACATCTATCCCATTAGTTTTGTCCCTCTAGAGAACCCTAATACAGCTAGATATAAAATTCTTAGTTGAAGAATTTTTTCTTTAAGAATGTTGAATATAGGCCCCCAGTCTCTTCTGGCTTGTAGGGTTTCAGCTGAGAGGTCTGCTGTTAGCCTGATGGGGTTCCCTTTGTAGGTGGACCTGCCCTTTCTCTCTAGCTTCCTTTAACATTCTTTCTTTCATTTCAACCTTAGAACATCTGACAGTTACGTGATGTGTCTTGGGGATGATCTGGTGTAGAAACTTGCAGGAGTTATCTGTATTTCCTGAATTTGACTGTTGGCCACTCTAGCAAGGTTGGGAAGTTTTCATGAATGATATCCTGAAACATGTTTTCCAAGTCGTTTTTACTTTCTCCCCCTGCCTTTCAGGGATGCCAATGATTCACAGATTTGGCCTTTTTACATAATCTCATACTTTTTGGGGGGTTTTGTTCATTCATCTTTAGTCTTTTTTCTTTATTTTTCTGACTGTCTTATTTCAGAGAACCAGTCTTTAAATTCCAAGATTTTTTCCTCAGCTTGGTTCATTCTGCTATTAATACTTGTGATTGTACTGTGAAATTCTTATATTGTGTTATTTCAGCTCTGTCAGACCCATTAGGTTCTTTTTTATATCAGCTATTTTGTCCTTCAGCTCCTGTATCACTTTATTGTGATTTTTCTTTTCCTTGGATTGGGTTTTGCCATCCTCCTGACTCTCAATTATCTTTGTTCCTATCCATATTCAAATTCTATTTCTGTCATTCCAGTCAGTTCAGCCTGGTCAAAAACTCTTGTTGGAGAACTGGTGTGGTCATCTGGAAGACATATGACACTTTGGCCATTTGAGTTACCAGAGTTCTTACATTGGTTCTTTCTCATCTCTGCATGTGGGTGTTCCTTTAACTACTGTGTAGATTGAGTACAGTCAATAGACTTTTCTGGATGTTTTCACTGGGCTGAGGTACTCTGCAGGGGTTTTATTTGAAGCTGACTTCTTCTTTCTGGTTTCAAAGGTGGGTATGTAAGAGAGGTATTTTGTGTTGAAGCTTCGGGATGTAATCCAGTTGGTGGCACTTAGGCTTACTGGTCAGTTGGTAGATGCTTCCTTGGTTGTGTGGCTCCCCTGTGTTTCCTCACAGTTGCAGCCATGTTCCCGCTCAATGCTGTAAAAATATGGGTTCCTCTCCCCCCTGACTGCTAGCTGTACATCGTGACTTGGTACTCCTGGCCTGCCCGCTGTAGCTCTGGGGCAATCTCAGTGTTTATGTTCCTCCTCCAACTTGGAGGCAGCAGAGGAAGGAATCTTAGTAGTAGCTTTGCCGAAAGGTCATCTGCGTGTCTCCTGGGAGCTTCACCCCAGAGAGATGCAGGTCAGCAATTACTCTGTGCAATCAGCCCAGGATGGAGGGTCTGTGCTGTGGGCCCAAGCCAGGGGTTTCCTGTCTGGTGACAAGCAGTAGGGGGCGGTGCATGAGACCCACAGGAGACAGACCAGCCTTTTCTTCTTGGGTCAAAGACCAGCCTCTTCTTCTTGGGTCAACTGCAGCTTGTAGCAGGTGTGGATAAAGCACATAGGGTCTTTGCTTCTTTTTTAGTCCGAGGGTGGCAAGGGTGGTTTCACTGCAGAAACAGTGCCAGAGAGGCTTTCTGTTGCCCCTGGAGGCTCTGTCCAGGGAGTTGCCAAGTTGCCACTCGCTTGATAGCTCTGGCTGGGGGAGGCTGGAGGCACAGGCCTGGAGGACCTGCCCAGTGAGGATATATGGGAATGGGTGACCACATAACAGTCTGGCCACTTTTCCGTAGGGCTGCTGTGGTATGCCTGGGGCCTGTTCCAGTCCCTAGTCACTTTGGATTTTCCAGTACCTGGAGGTGTCACAAGTGACGGCTGCAAAACGGCAAAGATGGCAGCCTGTCCCAGGGAGACAGGGGCCAGTTGCCAGCCTGAAGGCACCTGTAGGTGGCTGGAGACCCTGGTTGGGAGGTCCCATCCAGTAGGGAGGAATGGGATTAGGGATTCACTTAAAAAAGCAATCTCACCACATTTTGGTAGAGGAGCTGTGCTGTGCTGGGCATCCACTTTGGCCCCGTCGCTTCGGACACTCTGAAGCCCAAAGGTAGGAACAGCTAAGTAGCCCAAACAGCAAGGATGGTGGCCCACCTCTCCCTCTGGCAGCTCCATCCCACAGAGGTTACAAATTTCTGTCAGCCAGAGAACACCAACAGGGGTTGTGGGGGGGTGGTCCCTGATTGGGAGCTACGACACAGTGAGGAGTGGGATCTGGGACCTGCTTAAAGCAGCAGTGTGGCAACATTTTAATAAAGCAGCTGTGCAGTGCTGGGGGATCCCTTCTGTCCCCGGGGAGCTCAGACTCTCCAAAGCCCAAAGGCTGGAATGGCTAAGGTGCCCAAACAGCAAAGATGGCAGCTCCCTCTCCCCTCAGGAGCTTCCTCTTAGGGAGGTGCAATGCTGCTACCAGAGGCTGGGTGGAAATCCAAGCCAGTGGGTCTTGTGAGGTGCTGTGGAAGTAGAGCCTGCAGACTGTCACTGCTTAGCTCCCTGGATTCAGCCTCTTTCCTAAGGGGTCTAACCTCCTACTTTTCAGCTACTTTTGCCCGAAAGCCCAAATATCTAAGACTCCAGGGTCTCCATGAATGCTTTAGCAACTGCTCTGCTGAGACTCCAAGTAGCTCTGTCTGTCAGACTGAAGGCCCTAGCGGAGTGGGTTCACAAGGAGATCTCCTGATCCAAGAGTTGCAAAGATCCATGGAAGCAGCATGAGTTTCCCAGGGTTGCACATTCACTCACCGCTTCTCTGGACCGGAGAGGTTCCCCTGGTTACATGTTGCTCCCTGGCGGGCCACCATCCTGCCTTTTCTTCGTTCTCCATGCGTCAAATTGTTTCCTTGATTAGTCCTAATGTGAGTACCTGGATGTTTCAGTTGAAGGTGTTTTATTTACTTGTCCCTTCCATTCCTTTCTGTGAGAGCCACGTACACTAGTTGCTTCCGGTGGGCCATCTTGGCCACTCCCCCCACCAAATTTTTTAAGTTGCTATTGTAAACCACAAATAGTAAGTAATAAAAAGTAACCCTGGGTAGGTTGTAATGTTTTTGTGCTTCAGTATTCTCCTCTAAAAATGGAATAATAATTACATCTCGCTCATAAGATTGTTCTAAGGATTAAATAAGATCAGGCAAATGATTAATACATGGTCATTTAAAAACATAACTAACTACCAGCTACCACTATTAATACATTAAAATAAAATGTAAAAGGTCAGGGATAAATTTCTAGAATGTATTCTTTATGAACAGAATTTGTAAATATTAAATCAATATAAAAAAGAAACTCTTATTACAGATTCTAGCATTTCAATCCTACCAATGTGTATTCCATGGCAAAAAAAACCAGTATTGTGACAAAGAGACCGTAAGGAAACAGTAATTAAGAACACACATATCCCTTGTCATGTGGCCCTTTGGGAAGGTACTCACAAAGATAAGAAACTATCTTTGTTAAAACATTAAAATCTCTGTGGCTGAAAAACATAAATACCAGGAAAGACCAAATGGACTAGAAATTGAAGAATGTTGCCTGGAGAACGGACAGAGTTAGTATGTGGTTGCTAGGCAATGGGTTTCCAGGCTCCAGCACCTTAAGATCATAGCAGCACGCTGCTTTCATAAATGATGCATAGAGCTTTAATTTGTGGGAAAAGTATGAACAACTTCAGGATCTTTAACATCTTTTCTTGTAAAAAGCAAGCCTGTGCTTAGACTGAGGGAATACAGAGTTCTGTGTAAAAGTATATTGTTTTTATACTAGGTAATTTAATCTGTCTCATAAATATTTATACAATATAGAATATACATTTTAAAATATAAAACATGCCAGGTGTGAGGCAGAAATAAAAGATTCGGTATAATGTTAACAGAGAAAATCCAAAAGAATATGATTATTTGAAACATTTGGAAAAGCAATGCAAACTATAATTGGGCTTACTTTGAAATTTCCAAAGCTATTCTAGTAAGGATGGGAATGGGCCTAAAAAATCCTGTACCAGGATAATGTCATTGTGTAACTGGGTAGGAATAGAGTATGGGATATGTGGGTGAATTTGTCACATGTGAATTCTACACACAGCATTTATAGTAGCCAAACTAATCTTCACAATTTCACTGACATTTGTCATTCTTGGAGAAGTATGTCACAGGCTATCAGGCAAACTTGTTAGATAGCATTAAAGGGGTTTATGATAAGGAGAAAATAATGGGCATATATTTGGGTTTTACTTTAGATTGTAACTATATACTTGCATAATTTTTTTTGGTTTATTCATCTACCTCTTCCACCACTCTTTATACACTCTAGGATAAAAATCATAGGTCATTTATCTTGTATTCTTGGGTCCTAAGGGAGGATCTGGGCACATGGTAGGTTCTCAGTAAATGTTAATTAAACATAATAGAAACTGAATCAAATCAACGTTGTACTGGAAATAGTGACTCAAAGGTTCAAAGTACAAATACTTGCAGACTGGGGAGTGACAATATATAAATAGATATTTAATAAAAAATAAGCACAAGGTAGAATGCCTAGCAGAAAAATACACTATATTGGCATAAAATTTTTAAAACTTTTAAAATAGATTAGCTAAAAAAATCTTAGAAGAGGGTCACATGGCTGTCGTACAGAGACAATACATCCCGGGTTTATTAAATAAATTTATTTAATTTAATTAATTTAATTTAATAAATAAATTTAAATTTAAAATACTATCTCCATAGTTCTGAAAATACATTCATACCTGTCAAAATAAAACACTGACCTAAGACATGATAGAGGTCTCTTGAGTTCAATAACCTGTCTTAATCATATGTTATGGTGCTCAGCACAATGCCTGGCACATCATGGTAGGAGCTCAGTATATATATTTTTTGAACTGACCAGAAGCAGAGTTGTCATTTTAAATGCGTAGCCTAATATCTGCCTGTTCAACAAATAAATATGTACTATTGAATCCCACTGAAAGTGATTAAAAGCTATGCAACCAGAACAAAGTGTCTCTACAATGTCTGTTAAAATTGCCAGAGGGGTTTTTAATCTATTAAATAGAAACAATAAAAATATTAATATTTAATGTGAGGATACAGGAAGAAAAAATTAGATTCACATGACATATCCATAGGCATTTAAATGAAAAAATGTTGCTAAAAAGCAAAAATTACTCTTGTACAAATCTGCTTTAAAAGGACAACTGAGGATACAGCAGAAAATTTGTATACACATTTTCACTGTAGGCTTTTAATAGTAATCAAAATTTAAAAGCATATGTGCAATACAGAAAAACCTAATATGCATCCATATGTCAATACACATTCAGTTTTAAAATTTTTGGTGATTGCTTGTAAAAATTCTGACAATTCAGGAATACAAAAGTGAAAGAAGTAAGTCTCATAAAAATACATATAATGTGGTTCTATTTTTATGTATTTAAGACTTATACATATGTGTGAATGTAAGTGTATTTACATGGGTACACAGTCATCCCTCGGTATCCATGGAGAGCTGGCCCTAGGACCCCCTTGAATACCAAAACCCATAGATACTCGTCACTTACATAAAACGGCACAGTATTTGCACACAACTTACTCACATCCACACATGTACTTCCAATCATCTCTAGGTTACTTACAATATCTAATAACAAATGTAAATGCTATGTCAATAGTTCTTATATTATTTTTAAATTTCTGTTTTGTTTTATTTATTTTTTATTTTGTTGTTGTTCAAACATTTTCAATCCGTGGTCAGCTGAATCCTCAGATACAGAACCCATGAATACAGAGGCCAACTATACATATAGATATGTGCAGTTTTAGTTATTTTTACCTGACATTCAGGAGTCCCTTTCAGTCTGAAGTTTATAGCAAGAGAAATGAATAAAGTAACATATAAGAAAACCCCCATCAGACTAACAGTGGTATTCTCAGCAGGAATCTTTTCTCCTTAAGCCAGGATAAAAGAGGATGGCATATTCAAAGTGCAGAAAGAAAAAAATGCCAGCCAAAAGTACTATATGAAGCAAAGCTATCCTTCAAAAATGAGAGAGAAATAGTCTCTACCAGACAAGCAAAAATTGAGGGAACTCATCACCACTACACTGACCCTACAAGATATGGCTTAGGAGAGTCCTGCATCTGGAAGTGGAAGGATGGTATGTACCATCATGAAAACACACAAGAGTATAAAACTCCCTGGTAGAGCAAGCAAACAAATGAGAAAGAACTCAAATGTTACTGTTACAGGATCTTTGGGGTGTTGCTTTTCTGACTGGAAACCTTTGTGGCCAGTGGCACCTTTGCTCGAGTTTTGCTTGGGCCCACTGGGTTCGTTCTGCCACTCAGCCTGGCAGGCTGCGCTTGGCTCATGCAACTGGCCTGGATCCCACACCTGCCAAGGGCAAGTAAGGCATGGAGTGGCAAGGGGTGTGTGAGCAAGTGTGGGGTCTGGCAACTGTGCAGTCAGACATACTGGCTGCTGCAGCACGGCAGGCTGCCGGCTCTCCATGAGGCTGTGGCTGGACCAGGTGCACCACAAGCAGCTTCCAAAGCTGGCACCAGGGAACAGAGTGGCAACAGGAAGCCTGGAGACACCAAGAACAGGAAGGCCCCAAAGAGACAGTCATAGCCCTGGCTCGAGTCATACCCCAGGACTGGGCTCCCCAAAGAGCTGCAGCTCTTCTCTTCATCTGCAACATGGTGAGCAAGGGGCATGTTTCAGCCCTGTTTGTGTTATAGCTCTTTTAGCCTCACCAGTTTGGCGGGTCCTGGGTTCTTGTTCTGTGACCAGGAAGAATGAGATATGCAGGCAAGTGGAGGATGAGCAAGACAAAGGGAATCTTTATTGGGCAATAGAACAGCTCAGAGGAGACTCACAGTGGGCAGCTGCTCTCTGCAGCAAGGGTATCCCAATGAGTGTTCAGCTCCTAACAGAGAGGGTAGGTAGCTCCTCTCTGCTAGGCAGGCTATCCTGACTAGTGCTCAACTTTCAGCAGAAAGGGTAGCTCCTCTCTGCAACTGGTCATCCCATCGTCTGTCCAGCTCTGGCTGAGCCTGGGCTTTTATGGGCCACAGAGGGGAGGAAATGTGTATGACTGGTCCAGAGGCGGCCATGGGTGGGCCCAGAAAAGGTACCACAAGTTCCTCAACTAGCAGTCCAGCCCCCAGCCTTCAGGTCCTCCCTAGCCTGAAGGTGGGGCCTCATCAGGGACCCACCCCCTTCCACCCAGGAGCCTGTCTGCCTCCTCCTGTCATCATAGCACTGAGACTGCTTGCTCCAAGGGGCACCTGCAGGCCAGCACCAGAGCCGCCCTCAGCCCCACCTCATCCCTACCCCCTGTGTACCCAAAGTCCAGAGGGGGCACCCAAAGTCCAGAGGGGGCCGAGGCAGCAGAGGTCTGGTATGCCGGCACTGCCTCAAGCATGCACACACCTGGCTGGGCTGTGACAGTGCCTGGGCTTGGCCCGAACCCTGCTCCAAGATCTGAGCAGGTAATGGGGACAGGGAGAGGCCAGGCAGTGAGAGCAGAAACCCTTGAACCTGTTGGGGAATGAGCGGTCTTCCCAGGTGCCCAAGAGTGCAGAGATGCCCAGGTCCTGCACCTGGGAAAGTGGGGCTCCCACCCACTCCCTCCCACTCAGTGGAGCATGCAGGCAGCCCTGGCTGGGCCTCCTTGCAGCCTGGGGCAGGAGCTCCAGGTCCCCTTGCTGGGCCCCTCTCTGCCCACTCCTCTGTGCCTGACCACACTGCGTCTCCACTGGCAGGCAGCTCAGCCCAGCCCCACTGCAGTGACCCCGAGGGCAGTGGGCTCTGGTGGAGCTCCCACTTGTCCCTGGCTCCCGCTGGCTCCGTGGAGCCTAGCACTGCCCAGGCCCAGCTCCACCTCCTCCCTGTACCCTCTCTGCAGCAGCAGCAGGTGAGAGCAGCAACACAGGGCCAGGGTCTGGAGTGGTGGAGGCTCCAGGACTAGGGCTGATGCAGTCGGCTGCCTTGGGGACATGAGGCACAGGGGTCCCACCACCACCAATGCTGCTCCTGCAGCAGCCATTCCTGCCACCACTGCTTGCACCTCCCCACTGCAGCCAGCACGATGGCAGTGGCTGCTTCAAAAGGCCTGCCACTGCCATCATTACTACAGAAAACCACCAAATTGCGGTGATAAACAAAAATACAGGAAGAAATAAAAGTATGAAAAATAACCAGCAAACAATTAACAAAAAGAATATGACCTCTCTATCAATAACTTTGAGCATAAGTAGATTAAATTCCCCACTTAAAATATACAGACCGAATGGATTTTTTAAAAATATGACACAGCTATATGCTGCCTACTAGAAATTCACTTCGCAAGAAACATAGACTAAGGCCAGGGGCAGTGGTTCACCCCTGTAATCCCAGCACTTTGGGAGGCAGAGGCAGGTGGATCACCTGAGGTCAAGAGTTCAAGATCAGCCTGGCCAACACAGTGAAACCTCATCTCTACTAAAAATACAAAAATTAACTGGGCATGGTGGCATGCTCCTGTAGTCCCAGCTACTGGGAAGCTGAGACAGGAGAGCTGCTTGAATCCAGAAGGCAGAGGTTGCAGTGAGCCAAGATCGTGCCAATGCACTCCAGCCTGGGCGACAGAGAGAGACTCCATCTCAAAAATAAAATAAATAAAATAAATAAAAAACAAAACATAGATTGAAAGTAACGGGATGAAAAAAGATACTTCATGCAAATGGAAATCAAAAGCAAGCAGGAATAGCTATACTTACATTATATCAAACAAACTTTAAGTCAAAAACTATTTTTAAAAAGAGATAAAGAAAGTCATTACACAATGAAAAGGGGGTCAGTTCAGCAGGAGGATATAATTATTGTAAATATATGTGCACCTAATACTGGATCACTCAGATGTATAAAGCAAATATTATTAGATCTAAAGAAACAGCAGACTCCAATACAACATAGTTAAGGACTACAACAGCCCACTCTCAGCATTGGATGGATCATTGAGACATAAAATCAACAAAGAAACATTGGATTTAAACTACACTTTAGATGGAATAGATAAGACAGAACATTTTCTCCAACAGCTGCAGGATACACTTTCTTTTCATCAGTACATATAACATTCTCTAGGCTAGGCCATCTGGTAAGTCACAAAACAATTTCAACAAAATTTTAAAAATTGAAATCATATAAGTAAGCTATCGGATATACTGTGATCTGTCACAATGGAATAAAACTAGAAATCAATAACAAGAAAAACTTTTTAAATTGTACAAATACATGCAAATTAAACATGCTCTTGAATGACCACTGGGTCAATAAAGAAATGAAAAATAAACTTTCTTGAAACAAATGAAAATTAAAATACACTATACCTAAACCTATGGGATACAGCAAAAGCTGTGCTAAGAGGGAAGTTTATAGCAATAAATGCCTACTACATAAAAATGTGGAATAACTTATAATAAACAACCTAATGATGCACCTCAAGGACAGAGAAAAGAACAAACCAAATCCAAAATTAGTGGATGGAAACAAATAATAAAAATGAGAGCAGGGCTAAACAAAATACAGATGAAAGGTAATACAAAGGATCAACAAAACAAAAAGCTGTTTTTTTCAAAAAGATAAACAAAATCAACAAACCACTATCTAGACTAACCAAAAAAAAGAGAGAAGACCCAAATAAATAAAATCAGAAATGAAAAAGGAGATATTATAGCTGATACCAAAGCAATATAAAGTATAATTACAGAGAATTATGAACTATATACTAACAAATTAGAAAACCTACAGAAAACTGATAAATTCCTAGACATATACAACCTACCAAGATTGAACCAGAAAGACAAAGAAAACCCGAATAAACCAGTAACAAGTAATAAGACTGAATCAATTATAAAAAGTATCCCAATAAGGAAAAGCACAGGAATGCATGGCTTTATTGTTGAACTCTATCAAACTTATAAAGAAAAACTAACACCAGTTCTTCTCAAACTATTTCAAAAAACTGAAGCAGGGAAAATTCTTCCCAACTTACTCTATGAGGCCAGCATCATCAAATAGCAAAACCAGACAAGAACACACACAAAAAAGAGAAAACTACAGGACAATATCCCTGATGATCACAGACACAAAAATCCTCAACAAAATACTAGCAAACTGTATGCAACAACACATCAAAAAGATAATAAGCCATAGTCAAATAGAATTTATCCCAGAAATGTAAGCATGATTCAACATCTGCAAGCCAATAAATGTGATACATCACAGCAACAGAATGAAGGACAAAAGCCATATTATCATCTCAATAGACGCAGAAAAAGCATTTAATAAAATTCAACAAACCTGCATCACAAAAACCCTCAACAAATTACGCATTGAAGGAACATATCTCAAAATAATGAAGTCAATACATGAAAAATCCACAGCTAACATCATACTGGAATGGGGAAAAGCTGAAAGCCTTTCCTCTAAGAACTGGAACAAGACACAGATGCCCACTTTGAACATTCTTGTTCAACACAGTACTAGAAAGCCTAGCTAGAGTAATCAGGCAAGAGAAAGAAAGAAAAGGCATACAAGTCGGGAAACAGAAAATCAAGTTGTCTCTCTTTGTAGATGACATAACCTTACATATATAGAAAAAGCTAAAGACACCACCAAAACACTCTTAGAACTAATAAATGAATTCAGTCAAGTTGTAGGATGCAAAATCAATACACAAAAATCAGTACCATTTCTATATATCAAAAAGAAACTAGCTGAAGAAGAAATCGAGAAAGCAATCTGTGTCAGTCTGTTGCCATAAATGTATACCTGAGGCTGGGTAATTTATTTTTTTTAAAAAGAGGCTTATTTGTTTTGTGGTTCTGCAGGCTGCACAAGAAGCATGGCACCAGCATCTGTTTCGGGTGAGGGATTTAGGGAGCTTCCAATCATGGCAAATGGGAAAGGGGAGTTCAAGTGTGACACAGCCAGAGATGGCGCAAGAGAGCAGGAGGGGAGGAAGTCCCAGACTCTTTAACACCCAGAGCTCATATAAACTAACAGAGCAAGAACTCTCTTATAATGTGGAGGGCAGCAAAACATTCATGAGAGATCCACCCCCATGACCCAAACACCTCCCACTGAGCCCTATCTCCAATATTGGGATAACATTTCAACATGAGCTTTGGAGGGGACAAATATCTGAACTATATCACAATCCCATTTACAATAGCTACCAAAACAATTAAAAACCTAGAAATAAATTTAACTAAGGAAGTAAAAGACCTCTACAAGGAAACTACAAAACACTGACTAAAGTAGTTGAAGAAGACACAAACAAATTGAAACACACTGGGGGAGGAGCCAAGATGGCCGAATAGGAACAGCTCCGGTCTACAGCTCCCAGCGTGAGCGGCGCAGAAGACGGGTGATTTCTGCATTTCCATCTGAGGTACCGGGTTCATCTCACTAGGGAGTGCCAGACAGTGGGCGCAGGTCAGTGGGTGTGCGCACCGTACGCGAGCCGAAGCAGGGTAAGGCATTGCCTCACTCGGGAAGCGCAAGGGGTCAGGGAGTTCCCTTTCCTAGTCAAAGAAAGGGGTGACGGACAGCACCTGGAAAATCGGGTCACTCCCACCCGAATACTGCGCTTTTCCGACGGGCTTAAAAAACGGCACACCACAAGATTATATCCCGCACGTGGCTCGGAGGGTCCTACGCCCACGGAGACTCACTGATTGCTAGCACAGCAGTTTCAGATCAAACTGCAAGGCGGCAGCGAGGCTGGGGGAGGGGCGCCCGCCATTGCCCAGGCTTGCTTAGGTAAACAAAGCAGCCAAGAAGCTCCAACTGGGTGGAGCCCACCACAGCTCAAGGAGGCCTGCCTGCCTCTGTAGGCTCCACCTCTGGGGGCAGGGCACAGACAAACAAAAAGACAGCAGTAACCTCTGCAGACTTAAATGTCCCTGTCTGACAGCTTTGAAGAGAGCAGTGGTTCTCCCAGTACGCAGCTGGAGATCTGAGAACGGGCAGACTGCCTCCTCAAGAGGGTCCCTGACACCTGACCCCCGAGCAGCCTAACTGGGAGGCACCCCCCCAGCAGGGGCACACTGACACCTCACACGGCAGGGTACTCCAACAGACCTGCAGCTGAGGGTCCTGCCTGTTAGAAGGAAAACTAACAAACAGAAAGGACATCCACACCAAAAACCCATCTGTACATCACCATCATCAAAGACCAAAAGTAGATAAAACCACAAAGATGGGGAAAAAACAGAACAGAAAAACTGGAAACTCTAAAAAGCAGAGCACCTCTCCTCCTCCAAAGGAACGCAGTTCCTCACCAGCAATGGAACAAAGTTGGATGGAGAATGACTTTGACGAGCTGAGAGAAGAAGGCTTCAGACGATCAAATTACTCTGAGCTACGGGAGGACACTCAAACCAAAGGCAAAGAAGTTGAAAACTTTGAAAAAAATTTAGAAGAAGGTATAACTAGAATAACCAATACAGAGAAGTGCTTAAAGGAGCTGATGGAGCTGAAAACCAAGGCTCGAGAACAACGGGAAGAATGCAGAAGCCTCAGGAGCCGATGCGATCAACTGGAAGAAAGGGTATCAGCGATGGAAGATGAAATGAATGAAATGAAGCGAGAAGGGAAGTTTAGAGAAAAAAGAATAAAAAGAAATGAGCAAAGCCTCCAAGAAATATGGGACTATGTGAAAAGACCAAATCTACGTCTGATTGGTGTACCTGAAAGTGACGGGGAGAATGGAACCAAGTTGGAAAACACTCTGCAGGATATTTTCCAGGAGAACTTCCCCAATCTAGCAAGGCAGGCCAACGTTCAGATTCAGGAAATACAGAGACCACCACAAAGATACTCCTCGAGAAGAGCAACTCCAAGACACATAGTTGTCAGATTCACCAAAGTTGAAATGAAGGAAAAAATGTTAAGGGTAGCCAAAGAGAAAGGTCGGGTTACCCTCAAAGGGAAGCCCATCAGACTAACAGGGGATCTCTTGGCAGAAACCCTACAAGCCAGAAGACAGTGGGGGCCAATATTCAACATTCTTAAAGAAAAGAATTTTCAACCCAGAATTTCATATCCAGCCAAACTAAGCTTCATAAGTGAAGGAGAAATACAATACTTTACAGACAAGCAAATGCTGAGAGATTTTGTCACCACCAGGCCTGCCTTACAAGAGCTCCTGAAGGAAGTGCTAAACATGGAAAGGAACAACCGGTACCAGCCGCTGCAAAATCATGCCAAAATGTAAAGACCATCGAGACTAGGAAGAAACTGCATCAACTAATGAGCAAAATAACCAGCTAACATCATCATTACAGGATCAAATTCACACATAACAATATTAACTTTAAATGTAAATGGACTAAATGCTCCAATTAAAAGACACAGACTGGCAAATTGGATAAAGAGTCAAGACCCATCAGTGTGCTGTATTCAGGAAACCCATCTCACATGCAGAGACACACATAGGCTCAAAATAAAAGGATGGAGGAAGATCTACCAAGCAAATGGAAAACAAAAAAAGGCAGGGGTTGCAATCCTAGTCTCTGATAAAACAGACTTTAAACCAATAAAGATCAAAAGAGACAAAGAAGGCCATTACATAATGGTAAAGGGATCAATTCAACAAGAAGAGCTAACTATCCTAAATATATATGCATCCAATACAGGAGCACCCAGATTCATAAAGCAAGTCCTGAGTGACCTACAAAGAGACTTAGACTCCCACACATTAATAATGGGAGACTTTAACACCCCACTGTCAACATTAGACAGATCAACAAGACAGAAAGTCAACAAGGATACCCAGCAATTGAACTCAGCTCTGCACCAAGCAGACCTAATAGACATCTAGAGAACTCTCCACCCCAAATCAACAGAATATACATTTTTTTCAGCACCACACCACACCTATTCCAAAATTGACCAAATACTTGGAAGTAAAGCTCTCCTCAGCAAATGTAAAAGAACAGAAATTATAACAAACTTTCTCTCAGACCACAGTGCAATCAAACTAGAACTCAGGATTAAGAATCTCACTCAAAACCGCTCAACTACATGGAAACTGAACAACCTGCTCCTGAATGACTACTGGGTACATAACGAAATGAAGGCAGAAATAAAGATGTCCTTTGAAACCAACGAGAACAAAGACACAACATACCAGAATCTCTGGGACACATTGAAAGCAGTGTGTAGTGGGAAATTTATAGCACTAAATGCCCACAAGAGAAAGCAGGAAAGATCCAAAATTGACACCCTAACATCACAATTAAAAGAACTAGAAAAGCAAGAGCAAACACATTCAAAAGCTAGCAGAAGGCAAGAAATAACTAAAATCAGAGCAGAACTGAAGGAAATAGAGACACAAAAAACCCTTCAAAAAATTAATGAATCCAGGAGCTGGTTTTTTGAAAGGATCAACAAAAAAGATAGACCACTAGCAAGACTAATAAAGAAAAAAAGAGAGAAGAATCAAATAGACGCAATAAAAAATGATAAAGGGGATATCACCACCGATCCCACAGAAATACAAACTACCATCAGAGAATACTACAAACACCTCTACGCAAATAAACTAGAAAATCTAGAAGAAATGGATAAATTCCTCGACACATACACTCTCCCAAGACTAAACCAGGAAGAAGTTGAATCTCTGAATAGACCAATAACAGGATCTGAAATTGTGGCAATAATCAATAGCTTACCAACCAAAAAGAGTCCAGGACCAGATGGATTCACAGCGGAATTCTACCAGAAGTACAAGGAGGAACTGGTACCATTCCTTCTGAAACTATTCCAATCTATAGGAAAAGAGGGAATCCTCCCTAACTCATTTCATGAGGCCAGCATCATTCTGATACTAAAGCCTGGCAGAGACACAACCAAAAAAAGAGAATTTTAGGCCAATATCCTTGATGAACATTGATGCAAAAATCCTCAATAAAATACTGGCAAAACGAATCCAGCAGCACATCAAAAAGCTTATCCACCATGATCAAGTGGGCTTCATCCCTGGGATGCAAGGCTGGTTCAATATACCCAAATCAATAAATGTAATCCAGCATATAAACAGAGCCAAAGACAAAAACCACATGATTATCTCAATAGATGCGGAAAAGGCCTTTGACAAAATTCAACAACCCTTCATGCTAAAAACTCTCAATAAATTAGGTATTGATGGGACATATTTCAAAATAATAAGAGCTATTTATGACAAACCCACAGCCAATATCATACTGAATGGGCAAAAACTGGAAGCATTCCCTTTGAAAACTGGCACAAGACAGGGATGCCCTCTCTCACCACTCCTATTCAACATAGTGTTGGAAGTTCTGGCCAGGGCAATTAGGCAGGAGAAGGAAATAAAGGGTATTCAATTAGGAAAAGAGGAAGTCAAATTGTCCCTGTTTGCAGATGACATGATTGTATATCTAGAAAATCCCACTGTCTCAGCCCAAAATCTCCTTAAGCTGATAAGCAACTTCAGCAAAGTCTCAGGATACAAAATCAATGTACAAAAATCACAAGCATTCTTATACACCAACAACAGACAAACAGAGAGCCAAATCATGACTGAACTCCCATTCACAATTGCTTCAAAGAGAATAAAATACCTAGGAATACAACTTACAAGGGATGTGAAGGACCTCTTCAAGGAGAACTACAAACCACTGCTCAATGAAATAAAAGATGATACAAACAAATGGAAGAACATTCCATGCTCATGGGTAGGAAGAATCAATATCGTGAAAATGGCCATACTGCCCAAGGTAATTTATAGATTCAATGCCATCCCCATCAAGCTACCGATGCCTTTCTTCACAGAATTGGAAAAAACTACTTTAAAGTTCATATGGAACCAAAAAAGAGCCCGCATCGCCAAGTCAATCCTAAGCCAAAAGAACAAAGCTGGAGACATCACACTACCTGACTTCAAACTATACTACAAGGCTACAGTAACCAAAACAGCATGCTACTGGTACCAAAACAGAGATATAGATCAATGGAACAGAACAGAGCCCTCAGAAATAACGCTGCATATCTACAACTATCTGATCTTTGACAAACCAGAGAAAAACAAGCAATGGGGAAAGGATTCCCTATTTAATAAATGGTGCTGGGAAAACTGGCTAGCCATATGCAGAAAGCTGAAACTGGATCCCTTCCTTACACCTTATACAAAAATCAATTCAAGATGGATTAAAGACTTAAACGTTAGACCTAAAACCATAAAAACCCTAGAAGAAAACCTAGGCAATACCATTCAGGACATAGGCATGGGCAAGGACTTCATGTCTAAAACACTAAAAGCAATGGCAACAAAAGACAAAATTGACAAATGGGATCTAATTAAACTAAAGAGCTTCTGTACAGCAAAAGAAACTACCATCAGAGTGAACAGGCAACCTACAAAATGGGAGAAAATTTTTGCAACCTACTCATCTGACAAAGGGCTAATATCCACAATCTACAATGAACTCAAACAAATTTACAAGAAAAAAACAAACAACCCCATCAAAAAGTGGGCAAAGGACATGAACAGACACTTCTCAAAAGAAGACATTTATGCAGCCAAAAAACACATGAAAAAATGCTCATCATCACTGGCCATCAGAGAAATGCAAATCAAAACCACAATGAGATACCATCTCACACCAGTTAGAATGGCGATCATTAAAAAGTCAGGAAACAACAGGTGCTGGAGAGGATGTGGAGAAATAGGAACACTTTTACACTGTTGGTGGGACTGTAAACTAGTTCAACCATTGTGGAAGTCAGTGTGGCGATTCCTCAGGGATCTAGAACTAGAAATACCATTTGACCCAGCCATCCCATTACTGGGTATATACCCAAAGGACTATAAATCATGCTGCTATAAAGACACATGGACACGTATGTTTATTGCGGCACTATTCACAATAGCAAAGACTTGGAACCAACCCAAATGTCCAACAATGATAGACTGGATTAAGAAAATGTGGCACATATACACCATGGAATACTATGCAGCCATAAAAAATGATGAGTTCATGTCCTTTGTAGGGACATGGATGAAACTGGAAATCATCATTCTCAGTAAACTATCGCAAGAACAAAAAACCAAACACCGCATATTCTCACTCATAGGTGGGAATTGAACAATGAGATCACATGGACACAGGAAGGGGAACATCACACTCTGGGGACTGTTTTGGGGTGGGGGGAGGGGGGAGGGATAGCACTGGGAGATATACCTAAGGCTAGATGACGAGTTAGTGGGTGCAGCGCACCAGCGTGGCACATGTATACATATGCAACTAACCTGCACAATGTGCACACATACCCTAAAACTTAAAGTATAATAATAAAAGAAAAAAAAAAAGAAAACTACAAAAAAAAAAAAGAAATTTAAGTCTGCAAAAATAAAAGGTTGGAACTGCAAAAAAAAAAAAAAAAAAAAAAAAGAAACACACTGAATGCCACGGATTGTAAGAATATTGTTAAAATGACCATACTTCCCCCAAAACCTACAGATTCAGTGAAATCCCTATCAAAATACCAATGACATTATTCACAGAAATAGGAAAACCATGCTAAAACTTGTATGGAATTAAAAAAAAAAAAATAGCCAAAGCAACCCTGAGCAAAGAGAACAAAGCTATAGGCATCACATTACCTGATTTCAAAATACACTACAAAGCTATAGTAACCAAAACAGCATGGTACTGGTACAAAAACAGACACATAACCAATATAACAGCATAGAGAAACTAGAAATAAATCCACCAGGAAACCTCAGTGCTTGTGTTTCCACATCACTGGAGTCCTAGCAGACATTTCTCCGCACCCACATGAATTGCAGCAGGCACACAGGGCTGGCTGAACCGAGGAGAGCTTCAGGGTTCCCAGTGTCCCAGTCCTCAGGGAATGTTGTTCCTAAGGCAAGAGTGCAACCCGCCAAAGGGGCACCCCTTGAGACAAAAGAGACCACAGTGCATGCTTTCCCTTGCCTTAGAGCTGCCCATCTGTGGGGTAGAAGTGACTGCACCACTTCCAGTGGAAATGCAGATGTTGTGCTTAGTTCTAAAAGGGAAGAGTGTGGTTCCATCCCAGGAGCCAGGCAGCCTCAGTGCTCAGGCGCAGATACAGAGAGGGAGACTTCTCTCCCACCATTACCCACCACTGCACACAAAGCCATGGCTACTCCTGCAGGAGGCTGGCAAAGGCACACTGGAGGATGCCTATTCTAGGGCGATTAGGGGGCAGCAGCATCCCCACTGGTGGTGTGCCCATCAGGCCCAGCCTTGCACAAAATGCAGGGCCCCTCCCAGTAGCAGCATACCTGCAGTGAAGAGCAGGACAACCACAGAGCTGTGTGCTTTGGGATGAGGGAGGAAGTTCCACAAAGAAGACATTTTGACTGTGAGCCACAAGATAGATATCTTCACAGCTCTTGGCTACACTGCAGCCTGGAGATAGAAAGCATTGTCTGTCCAATCTGAGTGTTCCGAGCACTGGACAAGAGCATGACAGGGAAGTGGATCATATTCCTGCCTGTATAGGTCATGGAGCTGGGGCAGCAACCCCACCTCCTGTGGGGACCTCAGCAGATTTCACCAGGAGCTCCCCTTGCCAGTCTAATCAGTGCTGGTGCTTGTGCCTGGCACTGGGGTATCTGAGAGTAAGCATGGGGGTTCAGATCTGCCTGGCTTTGTTCCCCACCTCAGTTACTGAGCAGGGATCTAAGGCCACTGTGTATTCTATAGACCAGCCCAGTTCCTGAGGCAACAGAGAGCTGCTTCTGGTAAATAAAGTCCTTTATCTGTCTAGCATATACACATCTGCTTCTGCCTCAGCCAGCCCTTACCTGTAAGCGCCACCTACTGGCCTACAGGTTGAACTGCAAAACCCAATATAAAATCTGCTGACACAAGTGCACAGCACCAGGAAACAAGGTTAGTTTCCTGAGACCTCGCCAACCTGGTCCCGCAAGAGGGAGTGAGACTGTTCATACATCTAGTGCATTGTTACTACAACCAGCATTTAAGAAAACCACCCCACAAAGGTTGTCTATTACAAGGAGTTCATATAGTCTTTACCACTAAAAGCATCCAGAACCTAATGACCCTATACAACATACATTATAGTCACATCTTCAAGGGGAAAAACTAATACCATCCAACATAAGTAAATTCAAAAATAAGAAAAATAGTTTATTTAGAAAAGAAGGAAACAGAGAAACAATTCTGAAAATATAAAAAAACAGCATTACAACACCCCCAAAGGATCACACTAATTCCTCAGCAATAGATCATACTAACCAAAATGAAATCTTTGAAATACCAGATAAAGATTTCAAAACTGATTTTAAATAATCTCAGTGGGGCTGAGCATGATGACACACAGCTGTAATCCCATCACTTTGGGAGGACAAAGCCAGAGGATCACTTGAGGCCAGGAGTTCAAGACCAGCATGGGAAACATAGTGAGTCCCCTATCTCAAAAAAAAAAAATTAAAAATTAAAATAAAAAAAATATATATATATACACACACACACACACACATTATATATATATATATATATATATATATATATATATATATATATATATATATATATAAAAATTAGATGAGTGTGGTAGTATGTGCCTGTAGTCCCAGAAACTTGGGAGGCTGAAGGATCACTTGACCCCAGGAGTTCATGGCTGCAGTGAGCTATTTTTGCACCACTGCACTGCAGTCTGGGCAAGAGAGTGATACCCTGTTTTAAATTAAAAAAAAAAAAGGCTCAATGAGATCTAAGAAAAAGTTGAAAACCAACACAAAGAAATCAGAAAAAAATATTTAGGACATAAATGAAAAATTTACTGAAGAGATACACACTTTTTAGAAAAACCAAATAGAACTTCTGGAAATAAAATGTTCACTGAAGACAATAGACTAGAACAAGCAGAGGAAAGAATCTCAGAGCTTGAAGACAGGTCTTTCTAATTAACCCAAACAGACAAAAATAAAGAAAAAAGATTTAAAAAGTGAAAAGCCTTCAAGAAGTAAAGGATTATGTAATATATCCAAACCTATGTGTTATAAATATTCCAAATGGAGAAGAAAAAGAAAAAGTTTTGGTATACCTATTTGAGGAAATAATTGAGGAAAATTTCCATAGTCTTGCTAGAGATTTAGATATCCAGATATGAGAAGCTCAGAGAACTCCATAAAGATATACTGCAAGACAGACCTCAGCAAGACATAGTCATCCAACTATCTAAAGTGAACGTAAAGGAAAAAATCCTAAAATCAGCAAAATAAAAGCATATAATCACCTATAAATGAGTCACATCAGACTGACAGCAGACTTCTCGGCAGAAACTTTATAAGCCAGAAGAGACTGGGTCCTATTTTCATAGTTTTTTTCTTTTCTTTTCTTTTCTTTTCTTTTTTAAGATGGAGTCTTGCTCTGTTGCTCAGGCTGGAGTGCAGTGGCGCTATCTCGGCTCACTGGAAGCTCCGCCTCCCGGGTTTACACCATTCTCCTGCCTCAGCCTCCAGAGTAGCTGGGACTACAGGCGCCCGCCACCATGCCCAGCTAAGTTTTTTTGTATTTTTAGTAGACATGGTGTTTCACCGTGTTAGCCAGATGGTCTTGATCTCCTGACCTCGTGATCCGCCCACCTCGGCCTCCCAAAGTGCTGGGATTACAGGTGTAAGCCACTGTGCCCGGCTTCATAGTTCTTAAATAAAAAAGTGTCAATCATGAATTTTTTATCCTGCTAAACTAAGTTTCATCATGAATGACAAAGTCTTTTCTAGACAAGCAAACACTAAGGGAATTAATCACCACTAGATCAGTACTAAAACAAGTGTTCAACAGAGTTCTAAACATGAAAACAAAAGGTTGATACTTGCCATCATAAAAACACAAAAAGTATAAAACTCAGAGGCCTTATAAAACAATTACAAAATTGAGACTACAAAGCAACTAGGCAACAGTTAACATTATGACAGGAACAAAACCTCATGTATCAATATTAACTTTGAATATAAATGGATTAAATGCACCATTTAAATGATACATATTGGTGGAATAAATTTTAAAAACAGGATCCAACCATATACTGCTTACAAGAAACCCATCTAACTTGTAAAGACATTTATAGACTCAATGTAAAGGGGTGGAAAGGGATATACCATGCCAACAGAAACCAAAAGTAAGCAGAAGTGGCTATATTTATATTAGATAAAAAAGACTTCAAATCAACAACAATAGAAAAAGATAAAGGAGGTCATTATATAAGGATAAAGAGAACAATTCAACAAGAAGTTATAACAATCCTAAATATACATGCCCCAAAACCAGAGCACCTTGATTTATTAAACAAATACTACTTGACCTAAGAAAACAGACAGCAATAGAATAACAATGGGGAACTTCACCACCCCACTGACAACACTAGACAGATAATTGAGACTGAAATCAACAAAGAAATCCTGGACTTAAATTGGACTCCAGGCCAAAATGGACCTAACAGACATGCATAGAACACTCTACCCAATAACCACAAAATGTGCATTCTTCTCATCAGCATATGGAACATTTTCCAAGATGGGCTATATATCAGGACACAAAATTAGTCGCAATAAATTTTTTAAAAATTGAAATCATGGCTGGGCACAGTGGCTCACGCCTGTAATCCCAGGACTTTGGGAGGCCGAGGCACGTGGATCACTTGAGGTCAAAAGATCAAGACCATCCTGGCCAACATGGTGAAACCCCGTCTCTACTAAAAATACAAAAATTAGCTGGGCGTGGTGGTGCACACCTGTTGTCCCAACTACTCGGGAGGCTGAGGCAGGAGAATCACTTGAACCTAGGAGGTGGAGGTTGCAGTGAGCCAAGATAGTGCCACTGCACTCCAGCCTGGCAACAGAGAGAGACTCCGTCTCAAAAAAAAAAAAAAATTGAAATCATAGAAAGTATCTTCTCGGACAAAAGCAGGATAAAGGTAGAAATAATTCCAAGAGGGATTCTACAATAAACTATACAAATAAATGAAGCCTTATGAGTACAATGTACACTACTCAGGTGACAGTTACACTAAAAGCTCAGACTTCACCTTACACACTACATCCATGGAAAACAACTTCACTTGTACCCCTGAAATCTATTTCTTTTAAAAACAGAGGTAGGCATGGTGATGTGTGCCTGTAGCCTCAGCTACTCCAGAGACTGAGTTGGGAGGATTTCTTGAGCTCAGGAGTTTGAGGCTGCAGTGAGCTATTACTGTGCCACTGCACTCCAGCCTGGGTGGCAGAGACCTTGTCTCAAAAGAAAAATGAAAGTAAAAAGGAAGACATACAAATGGCCAGGAGGTAAATGAAGACATGCTCAACATCACTAATCACCAGGGAAATGCAAATCAAAACTATAATGAAATATCATCTCTCCTCAGTTAGAATGGTTAATATAAAAAAATTCTGGTGAGAATGTGGAGAAAAGGCAACTCTTACACACTGTAGTGGGAACGTAAATTAGTACAGCCATTATGGAAAACAGTAAGAGAATTCTCAAAACAACTGAAAACAGAACTACCATATGGCCCAGCAATCACACTACTGGGTATTTGATATGGTTTGGCTGTGTTCTCACCCAAATCTCATCCTGAATTGTAGTTCCCATAATCCCCACATGTCATGGGAGGGACCAGCAGGAGATAACTGAATCATGGGGGTGGTTCCCCCATCCTTTTCTCGTGATAGTAAGTTAGTTCTCAAGAGATCTGACGGTTTTATAAGGGACTCCCTCCTTCACAGGGCACTCATTCTTCTCCTTCCTGCCATTATGTGAAGAAGGACGTATTTGCTTCCCCTGACACCATGATTGTAAGTTTCCTGAGGCCTCCCTAACCATGCGAAACTGTGAGTCAATTAAAACTCTTTCCTTTATAAATTACCCAGTCTCAGGTATGTCTTTATCAGCAGTGTGAAAAGGGACTAATATGGGTATTTATCCAAAGGAAAAGAAATCAATCTAAAAGATACTGGCACTCCCATTTATCAGGGCACTATTCACAATGGCCAGGATATAAAATCAATCCGTCAATGGATGAATGGATAAAGAAAATGTGGTGTAGATACACAATGGCATACTATTCAGCCATAAAAAAGGAAGTCCTGCCATGTGCAACATGGTTGGATCTAGTGGTCATTATGTTAAGTGAAATACACCAGGCACAGAATGACAAATATCACATGTTGTCACTCATACGTGGGAGCTAAAAAAGTGGATCTCATGGAGGCACAGAGTAGAATGTTTACCAGAGGCTACAAAATGTGGGCAGGAATGAAGAGGTTTGTCAATGGGTACAAACATACAGTTAAATGAATAAGTTCTAGTGTTCAACAGCCCAGTAGGGTGACTGTAGTTAACAATATATTATATATTTCAAAATAGCTAGAAGATATGAAAAATTCCCAACACAAAGAAATTATAAGTGTTTGAGGTAACAAATATTCTAAATACACTAATTTGATTATAATTACTATGTATCAATAAAAAGATTTTTTTAAAGGAAAGAGGTGAAATTCTGCCTCATTCCCCTACAAGGTTACAGAAAAAAAAATGGCATTATAAATGTTTGATTCTAATCATCACAAGACTTTTGTTGTGTTGTTTCCAACCTGGGCTTGTACCCTTTCCTTCAGGCAAGTTGGTCATCCCCTACTCCCAGGAGTTTACCATACTAACATCCATGTTAGTGCAGACACCCAATCAGCATAATGCACTACAGCCCAGAAATCCTGGATGCAAGCAATTCTCCTGCCTCAAACTCCAAGTAGCTGGTGCCTTTTACCACATCTGTCTATAGATATTTTCCCAAAGATATACATATGGCAACAGGTGTATGAAAAGGTGTTCAGTATCACTAATCATCAAATAAATGCAAATCAAAAGTAAAATGAGATATCACCTCACAAGTGTTAGAATGGCTATTTTCAAAAAAAAAAAAAAAGGAAGAAAAAAAAAAAAAACAAGAGATAACCAGTATTGATGAAGTTGTAGAGAAAAGAGAATCCTTGTACACTAAAGATGGGAATGTAAATTAACATAGCCATTATGAAAAACAGTATAGTGGTTCCTCAAAAAAATTAAAACAGAACTATCATACAATCTAGCAATCCCACTTCTGGGTATATACCCAAAGGAATCACATCAATATCTCAAAGAGATATCTGCACCCCCTCATTCATCCACAATAGCCAAGGGGTGGAAACAACCTAAGTGTCTGTCAGTAGATGCATGGGTAAAGAAAATATGTGGAATATATACAATAACATTTTATTCAATCACAACGAAGAAGATCTAGCCATTTACAGCAACATGAATGAAATGTCCTGGAGGATATTATGTAAAGTGAAATAAGCCAAACACATAAAGACAAATCTGTATTATCTCACTTATATGTGGAATCAAAAAAAAAAAAAGAACTCTTAGAAACAGAGAGTAGAATGGTGGTTGTCAAGGACTGCAGGGTGGGGAAATGTTGATCAAAGGATACAAACTTTCAGTTCTAAGATCAACAAGTTCTAGGGATCTAATGCACAACATGTGTGCTGACAAATGTGATAATCATTATGTAACATGTATATAATATACCCAATCATCCATTGTACACCTTTAATATATACAATCTTTGTCAATTAAATATTTTTAAGCTAAAAAATGTTTAATTAAAAAATGTTTGATTTTGTCTTCAATTTCAGGAAGAACCTGCACAGATCTGATACAATCTCGTCCATAAACATGTAAAATTCTAAAGGGAAGCCATTTGAGACTGAAGTTTTCCTTGTAAGAAAGCGTTAAACTAAAAATTAGTTTTATTTGATAGATATATTACAGTTATTATATACAGAAATAGATCACCTATTTCTTCAGTAAGCCTTAGTAGTTTACGTCTTTCATGGAATTTGTCCATTTCATCTAATTCGTCAAATTTATTGGCATAAAGTTTTTCACAATACTTCCCTCATTCTCTCTCTCCCAGCCTCTATTCAGTTTTTCTATTTCATGTATTTCTGCTCAGATCTTTATTATTTCTCCTTTTCTATTTACTTAGGAATTAATTTGCTCTTTTTCCGTTTTCCTAAGGTGAATGCTGAGGTCACTGAGATCATTCTTTTCTAATATAGACATTTAAACTATAAATTCTTCTCTACTGCTTTAGCTGCATCCTACAAATTCTAATACCCTTCATTTTTATTCTAGTCAAATTCATCGTCATTTCTTTTTTGACTCATGAATTATTCAGATGTATGTACATTATAAACATTTTAAGATTTTCCAGATGTTTTAAATATTGATTTCTAATTTAATTCCACTGTAGTCAAAGAACATACTTTATATGATGTGAACTCTATTACTTTTATTGATTCCTTCTGCCTGAAGAAATTCCTTTAACATTTCTGGTGGTTCAGGTCTTCTAGTAATACATTCTTTCAGCTTAGTTTATATCTAAAACATCTTTATTTTGCTTTCATTTTCTAAAGATAATTCAGTGGGTATAGAAATCTAAGTTCTTCTTTCAGATTTTGTTCTTCTGTCCTCTCATTTACATTGTTTCTGATGAGAGCTCTTGTTATCCTTATTTTTTATTCTCTTTACCACTGCTTTTGAGTAAACTGATTATAGTGTGTTCATTTTTTATTATGATGTATATTCTTTTGTTTCTTCTACTTGAGATTCATTAAACATCTTTCACCTGTAGGATTGCAGTTTTCATCAAATCTAATTTTTTTAGTCATTATTTATTTAACTATTTCATCTACCTCCTGTCCCTTTTTGGAGACTCAAAATTACATGTATATTAGGCTGCCTGAAGTTGTCGCACAGCTAGTTCATGCTCTTTTCATTATTTTGGTTTATTTTATCACTTTTGGGCTTCATTTTTGAGAATTTCTATTGCTAAGTCTTTAAGTTCACTAATCTTTTCTCCTCCTTTCTTCGATCTGCCATTGATCTCATTCAGTGTATATTTTATCCCAGACGTAATTTTTCCCTCTAGAGATTCAAACTTGGGTGTTTTTTAAATACCATCCAGCTTCTATTTCATTTTTTGGACATATTGAATACTGTTGTAAAAACCACTTTAACATCATTGTTTGGTAATTCCAATATCTGTGTCAGTTCAGGGTTGGTTTCAAATATTGATTATTATTCTTTTTAATCATATTGAAGTGCTGAGTGTTTCTAAATTTCTATAATTATCCCTGAGTTTTATTCTGGTATGCAGTTAAACCATTTGGAAATAGTTTGATCCTTTTGGTCTTGCTTTCATCAGTTGTTTTATGATTTACAGTGCTCAATCTACTGATGATAATTCCCCACTATTGAAGCAAGTCCTTCCTGAGTATTCTACCTGACGCTCTGTGAATAATGAGCTTTTTCAGTGTGCACTGTAGGAACAGACACTATCTGCAGCACAGTGTAAATGCAGGCACTGTACTATTAAATCCATTCTAATGAGTGTTTCCCTAGCCCTGAGTAGTTTCCTCACATGATGCCTGATGAGCACACTGCTGAATACACAGAGGATACCTTCTACAGATCTCTAGGTCTCTTGAAGCTCTCTCCTCTTCAGTACTGTGTCCGGCCAACTCTAACTGCCTTGTTCTCCCTAGAATCTCAGTTCTGTCTCCTCAGTTCAGTGAACCCACTGGATTTCCCTTGAATTCCATCTCCCTGCAATGCAATGCAGAGGAGATGCTCCATGCAGTAAGCTGAAGCAATCTTACAGCTCACCTTATTTATTTCCTGTGTCTAAAGGATCACTATCCTTTGTGCTTGATGTCCAGTTTCTTTAAAACCATTATTTAGTATATTTTATCTGTGATGTTGCTGTTGTTCAGGTGGGAAGGTATATATACTGTCTGGGTATATACAGTCCCATTGACTTTATCGTGGGCAGAAGCAGAAGTCTATATTGATTTTTAAATATTAAATCAAGTTTATATTCTCAGATAAACAATATTTGGTCATGATGTGTTATTCTGTTTACATATCTGGATTCAATTTGAATATTTTGTTTCACATCTAAGTTCATGAAACAATATAAATATAATGGCTACCACAAGAAGAGAAATAAAGAACACTACCACCCTGTCATATTTACTAGAAGTAATCAGAATGACAGGACAGAAACAGAAGTACAAATTTTATGCAAAACTTTTCAGGCACTGACAAAAGAAACAAGACTTACAGGTAAGATGGTCTGGATATACATTATAATGTTTTGCAAGAAGATTCAGCAAACAATTTATTTTTTTGTTTTTGTTTTTGAGACAGTCTCACTGTCACCCAGGCTGGAGTACAATGGTGCAATCTTGGCTCACTGCAACTTCCACCTCCTGGGTTCAAGCAATTTTCATGCCTCAGCCTCCCATGTAGCTGGGATTACAGGTGTGTGCCACCACACCCGGCTAATTTTTATATTTAGTAGAGACAGGGTTTCGCCATCTTGGCCAGGCTGGTCTCAAACTCCTGACCTCAGGTGATCTACCCGCCTCGGCCTCCCAAAGTGATGGGATTACAGGCATGAGCCACTGCGCCTGGCCCAAATAATTTCTTTTCAAAGTAAGTTTAATTATTGCATTTAAAATCGAGGTTAATTTCTAAAGCATTGCATAAAGGGAGGAATATTTACATACGCTGCATATGGTTGCAGAGACCCATAACTGAAAAGAATTAGGTAGAACCTAGAAGAGATGAAAGCATGTATAAGAAAGAACAAGAAGAAAAAATAAAAAAGAGTCCTAGCCATTAGTAATGTTCTCTAAGCTACAGGTCTCACTGGATCTAATTATCTCCTTACCTAGTAACAGTATTCTGAATTTTTATAAAAATATTCAAATACTGAAAGTATACACGGATTTATTTGAGCTCTAAGAAAGAAAAGTGGTGTAAACCATTGTTGCTCTTAGAGTTAACTAGCTCTCTACATCTACCTAGGAATATAACTGTGTTCCATGGCAGGTATCTAGTCCTCATGAAAACTGGGAAGTGAGAAACAGAAGTCCACACAAAGTAATGATACAGTACCTCACAAGATCTGCCTAGATGTAAAATGTCAAAAGCATTACTATAATACCAAAATCAGGGAACTAAATAACAGCCCTTTAGATAGGTATCAGAAGAGGAACTTTCACTTCAATATGCATTGTAAGCTATCATGACTTTCCTAAAATATACCTTTACATCTTTTGTTGCAAAAAGGTGGTTCATCTCATAAGTGGGAGTTGAACAATGAGAACACATGGACACAGGGAGGGGTACATCACACACCAGGGCCTGTTGTGGGGTCTGGGGGCTAGGGGAGGGATAGCATTAGGAGAAATACCTAATGTAGATGATGGGTTGATGGGTGCAGCAAACCACCATGGCACATGTATACCTATGTAACAAACCTGCACGTTCTGCACATGTATCCCAGAATTTAAAGCATATATATTAAAAAAAAAAAGTGGTTCATGTTACATGGATGGTTTCGTAACTTCTAGTAGTTGTGTACTACGAACTAAACAAGATTATGCATGAATTTTTCCCCATAAGAAGGCTCAGATAATATTTAAAAATTAATAATTCCTTTCTATTAAAATTATGAAGCCATTTCATACATACCATACTAAACAGATCAGAGATTTAGTAAGACCAAGGAGTAAACCAAGATAGGTAAGGGGATAAATTATATCATGTAATGCTTGCATTGTCTTTGGAAGAACCATATTGTCCCTATATAAGTACTCGTTAACTTTTGTTTCATTTAACCTTTAGAGAAATAAGGTTCAAAAGTCTAATTAAAGTCCTCTTATCTCATTTACCACCTTCTCCCTTGTCACTTCCCTAAAGCTACACATATAATGATCTAATCTTTGTTCCTGGAATAAGTCCAATATGTTCCTCACTCAGAGCCTTTGAATTTCTTCTTCCTCTGCCTAAACCACTTTCTTCAGATATCACCAAGTTTCAACTCCTCATCTTCTTCAGGACTCTACTCAAAAGTCACCATATCATGAAGGACTTCCCTAACCATTCTGTTTATAAACTAGCAATGCACCACCAGCCCTAGAACTTCCTATTCCTCTCACTGCATTCTTTCTTTTGCATGTATCCTCATTTGATATTTTACCATTTTTCTCTCAATCTAAGATATTACTCAGTGTAACATCACTCTGACAGAAAAAATCTGCCAACTATAATTGTAAAAAAACTTATGTTTCCCAAATTTTTTGACAAGCTGATCCTAAAACTTACATGAAAATGTAAAGGACCCAAAATAGCCAAAGCAATATGGAAAAAGAAGAACAAAGCTGAAGGACTCGCACTTGTTAACTGGTTTTACAATTACTATAAAACTACACTTACTATATTTACCTACAAAACTACAGTAATCAAGAAAATGTGGTATTTGTATAAAGACAGAAATATAGATCAACTGAACAGAATTTAGAGTCCATAAATTTTCCCTTATATTTTTGGTCAATTAATTTTTGACAACTGTGCCAAGACAACTCAATGCGGGGAAAGAATAGTCTTTTCAACAAATGATGGTGGAACAATTGCACATTTACTAGGAAAAAACTTAATTTAGATTTTTATCTCACACCACCACAAAAAATGAACTCAAAATGGATTATAGGTCTAAATATAAAAGCTATTATTATAAAAGTCTTAGAAGAAAATATAGAGTGACCTTGGGTTAGACAGAGTTATTAAGTATGACACCAAAAGCACAATACATTTAAAAAATGGATAAACTAGGACTTCATCAAAATTAAAAATGTTTCCACTTTAAAATATGTATTAAGAAAGTGAAAAGAACAGCCACACACTGGTAGAAAATATTTTCAAATCATACTTCTGATAAAGGGATTATCTCCAAAATATATAAAGAACTTTTATAACTAAGACAAACAACCTAATGGAAAAAAAATGGGTGAAAGATTCAAGTAGACATTTCACCAAGAAAGACACATAAATGGCCAATAAACTACTGACAAGATGCTGAAAATCATCAGCCATTAGAAAAATGCAAATAAAAACTACGAGATACCATTTCTCACACAGAGAATGGTTATGATTTAAAAAGGGAGACAATGATAAGAGTTGCCAGAGATGTGGAAAAAATAGATCCCTCACACATTACTGGTGAAAATATAAAATGGTACAACCATTTTGGGAAACATTTTGAAAGTTTCTTTAAAAGTTAAAAATAGATTTACTATATGACCCAGAAATACTACTCCTAGATATCTACCCCCATAAAAGGAAAACATATGTTTACACACAGATTTGTACACAAATGTTCATTGCAGTATTATTCATAATAACCAAAAAGTGGAAACAATCCAATGAATGATAAAATGTTATTCACAGAATGGAATACAATTCAGCAATAAATGAGCATGAACTACTGATTTCATGCAATGACACGAATAAACCTCAAAAACATTATGCTAAGTAAAAGAAGTCAACATGGATGAACCTAGAGGACATTATGCTAACTAAAATAAGCCAGACACAGAAAGAAACATACTGTATGAAATCACTTACATGTGGAATCTTAAAAATATACACATAGAGGGCTGGGCGTGGTGGCTCACGCCTATAATCCTAGTACTTTGAGAGGCCGAGGTGGGCAGATCACGAGGTCAGGAGATCGAGACCATCCTGGCTAACACGGTGAAACCCCATCTCTACTAAAAATACAAAAAAATTAGCCGGGCGTGGTGGCGGGCACCTGTAGTCTCAGCTACTCTGGAGGCTGAGGCAGGAGAATGGCGTGAACCCAGGAGGTGGAGCTTGCAGTGAGCCAAGATCTTGCCACTGCACTCCAGCCTGGGCGACAGAGTGAGACTCCATCTCAAAATAAATAAATAAATAAATAAATTTTATATATATATACACACACACACACACACACACACACACAACATAAAAAGAGTAAAATGTGATTACTAGGGATTGAAAATGGGAAGATGCAGGTCAAAGGTAGAAAGCTGTAGTTATACAGGGAGAATAAGTGTAGAGATCTAATGTATAACATGAAGACTATCACTAATGATACTGTATTTTATACTGGGAATTTGCTAAGAGTAGATTTTAGATATTCTCATTATTAAAAAAAAAGAAAGGTACCTATGTAAGATGATAAAGTATGTTCATTTGCTTGACAGTAGTAATCTCTTCACCTTAAATGTTTGTCAAAACATCATGCTGGACACTTTATATACAATAAAATCAACCCATTCATCAATAAATGCAACAGTCTATTATTTAAAAAGATGCTAGATGCAAAAGTCTGCACAGTATATTACTGTATTTAGATGAAATGCACAGAAAATGTAAATCTACGGAAACAGCAGATTAATGGTTTGAAATGTGGCAAAAGTGAGGAATGACGGCAAATGGGAATGACAGATCTTTTTGGGGTGATGGAAATATTCTAAAGCTGGATGTGGTGATAGTAGCCCTACTTTGTAAATTGACTGAAGATCATGTAAATCTATACTTAAAATGAATGAATTTTATGGGTAGGTAAATTGCAAAATTATTTGGCAAAAAATGCTTCCCAATGCCTAATATAACCAGAAATGTGAAACACATATCTCACAATATATTAAATCCATTTCATTTGGGGGGGCTCACTGAAGTTTTCTTTAAAATATATTTCTTGTATTTGTTTTCCCACAATAGAAAGTGAGCTCCAAAAGGGCAAAGATTTTCTTTTTATTTACTGTTGTAGCCCAGCAGCAACGTGGAGCAACCTTGTAATGTACTGAACATAGAAAGCATTCAATATTTGTTAAACGAAAAAATAAATTATCAGTGTCCTTTGAAGAGAATATAAATTTCAGCTTCTGTTATGCTCAGCACTGCCCACCATTAACTGCATACCCTTTTAGAAGTGCATCTGGAGCAATGATTATCTAGGGCTTACATATGTATTATCGTAGTTGATCCTTGCAAGAGCCTGGTGACATAAAAAAGATGAGAGGGCACAGAGGCCGAAAAGACATGTTGGCCTTGAGCCACCTGTGGTACACACAAGCAGATATAACTAACAAGCCAATAGGTAGCTGGAAATAGGAGAATGCTGGCTTGGTGGAATGATTTGGCTCATCATACTTTGGAAATCATAATTTTTGCGAAACTGCAAGACTGAGCAAGCAGGGACAATGAATACAGAATGAGAACTGAAGGTGCAGCTATTCTTTCTGCAGAAGACAACCCCAGTCAAGGACGACTTCTGAGCAGAGGAATAACATAATAAAAGAAGAATGACATGAAATAGTTTGGAGGAAGAAACAAACTAAATCTTATCCGAGGAGGTGAATATCCAGACAATAGCAGTGGGACTGGACAAAGACAGGAGAAATTAGAAGACATATCAAAGGAAGAATTGCTATGGGTGACAAAATACTTGTTGTCTGCAGGATAGGAGAGAAAAAGAAGAGCAATCTACAGAAAGAAACCAACTTAAGAAGCCAAGAAAAACAAAAAACACTAAATTAAAAAATAAGTTTTCAAACAGAAAAAAATAGAATAAACTAGGGAAATTGTGGAGTGGAAATTTTGGCTTTAGTTAATTTAAATAATTTAACAATCTTTCCTTCTCAATTAACCTAGTGAAGTCTGAACAAATGAAGAGAACTAGAATTATTCTAACACTTGCTAGAGAATAATACAAACAATCTGTCATGTACCAGAAGGTTTCTGGATTAAAAACTTGTCTAATGTGTTCTGGCTGGTGTTCAACAGTGTAAGCATTCCTTACAATATTTACCTGAGTGTCATAGATTTAGTAAACAGAAATCTTATTCGCCTAAATAACAATTCCTCCATGAAACGTTTGGTTCTACTTTAACAAAGTTTTGTTATGTAAGTGCACAGAATGATGAGACAAAAAGAAGCTGGCACTGTGTCTAGCGGTAGTAACATCCAGTGGAAGTCTCCTGGCATTTGGTTTTGATAGATTAGCAGAATAACTTTCAGAGTAAGGTAGTCCTAAAAATTTCAAGATCTGGAATAGCAACTAGGTAGTGCTAGATTACAGAAGCTAAGGTAGTAATTAGAAATGAAATCTAATGCTCATTAAATTTCCATTTTTAAAAGAAAGTTATTTTATCTTAAATATCAATTTGAAACCAAATGAACTTCAATATCAGTACCTGGCTCTAAATGTTTTCCTCTTTGTTGGCAGAAAACTATTGTTTCTGTATTTAGACAACAGCTATTTATTTGCAATATTATGAATCAAAATTTTCTTACAATATTAAACATCTCAAATAAATATACAAATATAATAGGAAAGGGCTGGTACAATATTACAATTTGTCCATGACTTAGCATTGACCAGATGCTTCAGTGAAAAACTGATTAATATAAAATACTCTGGGGCTGGGCACGGTGGCTCACGCCTGTAATCCCAGCACTTTGGGAGGGCAAGGCAGGCAGATCATTTGAGGCCAGGAGCGAAGGCGGAGGCATGAGAATCGCTTGAACCCAGGAGGTGGAGGTTGCAGTGAGCCGAAATGGCGTCACTGCACTCCAGCCTGGGCGACAAAGCAAGACTCTGTCTCAAAAATAAAATAAAATAAAATAAAATACAATACTCATCCACTTTTCCATTTTTAAATCTTTACACTTAATGGTTAACAAGTACTGTGAATTTGTTCATTTTAATAGGACCTAACTTTCTTAAAATGGAAACCTTGGAGTCGAAGCAAGGCACTTAGATTCTAGTTTCATTTTGCCTACTCAGCTAGACAAAATCTATGTGCTTCAGCTTGGCCATGACACTCCTCTTCTCTAATCTTCCATTTCCTTATCTATAAAACAAAGAGAATGAGGAAAAAGCAATCATCCCTGCCCACCTTCTGGGATGTAGTGAACATAAAATGGAATAATGGATGCCAAAGCACTGAAATTGACAAAAGTATGTAGTGGTATAATCACCACCAAAATCCAACCTGTAGTTCACAAAATTTAAATACTAGGCTGCTTGTTTTAATTCAATCTTATAAACAGCCAAAATGAATTAAGCCCAATAGTGTTACTCACAAGGTAAAAATAAAGCATCCAATTACACAAGGAGTTGTAGTGAAGACATGAGGAATCTTGATTTGACAATCTGCGGTTCTTAAAATACCTGTGCTTCTAACAACTGGTCCACTGGTACTAAAGTTTCGTATTTCTTATTGGAGTTGCTCTCCAACCACAGACTTTTTCCTTTTTCCACAACTTTCTCTAAAATATCTTCTATAAAATGAAATATGAAGTTCAGATAGACTTGATATATGGCAGAATGCTAAGAAAACAGCTGACTTCTCAAATTCTGAACTAAATGCAAATCAAACAGTGGCTGGTGGCTGACCAGCATTTTAAAAAAAAAAAAAAATGTGGCACACAGAAAATAAGAAGCAGTTGACCTCAGTAAAAATTCAGCATCACAGTCAAGGTGGGCTCTGCTGTGGGTAAAGGGAAAATTCCAAATACTGATTTGAAATGATAATTTCAACAAAAGTACCATCATCCTCAAAGGACATAAAGAGGGCCAGGCATACATAAGCATCTTCAGGAGAGTTAGTGGTAAGCAATCAACTGTTATCCCTTTTTTTAGCTTTTGTTTTCCATTCAGGGGTACACGTGCAGGTTTGTTATATAGGTAAACTCATGTCACAGGAGTTTGTTGTACAGATTATTTCATCACCCGGGTTCTAAGCCTAGTGCCCAATAGTTATTCTTTCTACGCTCCTCTCCTTCCTCCCACTCTTCACCCTCAAGTAGGCCCTAGTGTCTGTTGTGCCCTTCTTTGTGTCCATGTGTTATCATTTAGCTTCCACTTATAAGTGAGAACATCCAGTATTTGGTTTTCTGTCCCCGCATCAGTTTGATAAGGATAATAACTTACAGCTCCATCCATGTTCCAGCAAAAGACAAGACCTCATTCTTTTTTATGGCTGTATAGTATTCATGGTGTATATGTACCACATTTTCTTGATCCAGTCTGTCATTGATGAGCATTTAGGTTGATTCCATGTCTTGACTATTGTGAATGGCACTGCAATGAACATTTGTGTGCATGTGTCTTTATGGCAGAAAAACTTGTATTCCTCTGAGTACATAACCAGCAATGAGACTGCTGGGCTAAATAGTAGTTCTGTTTTTAGCTCTTCGAGGAATTGCCACACTGCTCTCCACAATGGTTGAACTAATTTACACTCCCACCAACAGTGTGTAAGTGTTCTGTCTTCTCCACAACCTTGCCAGCATCTGTTACTTTTTTTTGACTTTTTAAAAATAGCCAATCTGACTGGTGTGAGATGATATCTCATTGTGGTTTTGATCTGCATTTATCTAATGATCAGTGACACTGAGGGCTCCCTATTCAATAAGTGGTGCTGAAATAACTGGCTAGCCATACATGGAAGATTGAAACTGGACCCCTTCCTTACACCATATAAAAAAATCAACTCAAGATGGATTAAAGACTTACATGTAAAACCAAAACTGCAAAAACCCTGGAAGACAACCTAGGCAATACTACCCTGGACATAAGAATGGGCAAAAATTTCATGACAAAGATGCCAAAAGCAATAGCAACAAAAGTAAAAATTGACAAATAGGATCTAATTAAACTTAACAGCTTCTGCACAGAAAAAGAAACTATCAACAAAGTAAACAGACAACCTATAGATTGGGAGAAAATATCTGCAAACTATGCATCTGACAAAATTCTAATATCCATCATCTACAAGGAACTTAAATTTACAAGAAAAAAAACCACCTCATTAAAAAGTGAATAAAGGACATGAACAGGCATTTTTCCAAAGAAAATATACATGCAGCTAACAAGCATACGAACTTTTACCCTTAATTGTTCTCCTCGGGCCAGTCACTATATTGGGTACTTTATATAAATAATATAATTCACACAACAGTCCCATCAGAAAGGCTTTATTTTCATTATTTCATAGATGAGGAAGCTGAGATTCAGATAAATTACAAATCTCCATCAGGTCATAGAGCATGTGAGTGACCTAGATAGGATTTAAACCCAAGCATACATATTTAACTCCCAAATCCTGGTTCTTTCTGTATTGTTATCTATATGAAACTCAGATTCCACTGACACTGTACATAAGATAGAGTATTATTCAGCCTTAAAAAGGAAGGAAATCCTGACACATCCTGAACCCATATGGATGAACCCTGAAGACATTATGCTAAGTGAAATAAGCCAGTCGCAACAGGACCATATGGTTCTACTCATATAAGGTACTTAGAGCAGTCAAATTCATAGAAGCGGAAAGTACAGTGGTGGTTTCCAGGATATATGGGAGGGAGAAACGTGGGGTTAATGTTTAATAGGAATAGACTTTGAATTTGGCAAATGAAAAAAAATTCTAGAGATGGATGGTGGTGGGGGTTGCATAACAATGGTGGGGATTGCATAACAATGTGAACGTACTTAATACCACTGAACTATACACTTAATGATAGTTGAAATGGTAAATTTTATGTCATATTTTACCAGAAAAAATGACTTTTAAAAATTAAAAAATAGGTAGATATACAGTTGTTTTGTTGTGTGAGAATTCAAATATATGTAGAAGAGTGCACGTGAAAGCTTAACAGCGAAAAGAATGAACTGTGCTAGTTACCAATTTGTTGCCTCTCACATCCAAATTCACTCTCTTTGCCCACTCTGCAAAAATTAATGTGAGGAGGTGAAATTTTAGCTGAGAATTAAAGAATATGACAATAGTCAGACGAACGTTAACACATTTTTTTCATTCCTCCCAAAATATCCTAGGAAGAACCTATCTATGTATTTGTATACATAATTATATTTATTGTATTTCCTAAGGAAATACATTCTTCAGTTGAGAGTCATCCACATGCATTTTATATTCAATGTACTGAATTTTCTGAGGTTTCCAGCCATCTAAGAAATGAACCTTTCCTGTTCCTATGAGTTCTCAATTGGCAGGCTGTATAACTAGGTGTGGAAAGTGGAATGAGACAATTCACAATAGTCTTCTATGGTTCTCTTGGAAGCCAGGAAGGACACAAGCCCTGCTATGTCCACTCTCAGAATACTGCTCTAATGTGAAGACTTTATCTTCTTCACTTTTTTGGTTTTGGGAAATGTAGTAGATCAAGCAGCCATTCATTCACTTGTGGACTATCCTAGAAACCAAACATCATTTTCTAAATAGGAAGAAATCTGAATTTTTAAAATTACATTTTAAGACTGGGGTCTTTTTCTTTTCCCTATAGTCTGCTTGATTCTGCTTAATTTCAAAAGAGTGTTTATTCTAAAATTAAACAAGAAAGATTATCAAGTTTCAAGAAAACAACATGCATCAACTGAAAAAAATTTCTAAAATCTTTAGTTAGGGATTAGAAAGTCAGAGAATGGTTTTAGGAACTGTGACATCTTCTAAGGAAGATAAGAGTCACATAAGCAATTAGCAAAAATCTTAAGAAAATCACTTAAGTTTCATTAACCTTCAGTACTTCATACATGCCACATACTCAGGAAAGGGCCTTCATGTACTGTTATTTATTTGTTATTTATCTTCACAATAACCCAACATACTGGCTCTTGTCTCAGCTTCACAGATGAGGAAACTAAGACTCGGTGTTTAAGTAATTTGCACTAACACGCAAACCTAGAAATTTGGGGAGTTGGGATCCAAGCACAAGTATATAATATAAAAGCCTATGTACTTTCCACTCCTTCCAACTATTACATACAATTAAACTGGTATTGTGCCTTATAATTATGGCCTCTCATGGAACCCAGTGACACTGATTCTCCTGGGTGGAAGTTGTGACAAGGGAGGATGAAGAAGCTGGCCATTCTAGGAGGCACTACCAAATCCTTTACATGGGAATAAGTTAGTAAATAGGTATTTATTGAGCATGAAAATATATGGTATTTCTAAAGACAGGTTTCTAAAAACCAGGTCCTTCTTTAGGAGAGAATTTTGAGAAAACCAGACATTTACTTTCTTTGAAATACCTTTTTTTTCTGTGAACAGTTTCTTAGTTTCTTAGCCCCTAGGTTCATCTTTTGGTGAAAAAACAGATTAATACCCTTTGAGCCATCTCTAAACACTGCTGTGCTCCTGCATGTTTTTGATCCAAAGTTTTAGAACATTTGACACCTGAAACAATCACTTTCAGGTCCTGTTACGTAAAAACATTTCCCAGGAATTAGGAAAGTATTATACTATTCCAACCTTTTTAATATGCTGCTGTCATAATTCAGATTTAGAGAGCAAGCCTCAGAGCTGGCTGTCTCACTGAAAGAATGTCCTTGGGTATAATTTGCTCTTCCAATTCTCTGCACACAAATATAAGAGGACATGCAACTCCACTGGGGCAGCTTCTGAGAGAACTAAAGCTACCCAGTCAACCCACCACTGTTTGTCTGAAATATTAAGTATATTTCTGTCGAAAATGTGCTTAAAAGAAGCCTAATAAGTTGGCCCAAACTACATTTACACAGAAGGATGCCCTCATTTTTAGACAATGTTGGAAATGAATGTTGTGATATAACTGCCACAGGTCATAATGGCATCAAAAGGTAAGTTAAATGAAATCAAGTGCATTACGCCATCATGAAAGTAGTGAGGTCTTATGTATTATTTTTTTTTTCAGTCTTAGCATTGTATAATCTCCTTTAACAGTGTTTTCTCTCAAGATTGTTTTAAACCAGGATAACAGTCTAAAACACCATTGCTAAAATTAAAACTAATTATGAGAGAACTGACAACCCAAAACAGTCTGAGTAATCCTACTATAAATGAAAGAAAAGTTCTAACAGCAAATTAGATAGAATTATGCAATTTTAAACACTATTTTATGTCCCCTGTTCCACTGATGTAGATGAATCAGGACCAAATGCTTGCCTGTAAATCAAGATTTCAATATCATTTTTACATTGATATTGCCCCTAAATAGGTTTAAAGAAAAGCCATGACATAGTCCATAAAGAACTCATATGGAAAAAAATACTGGTTTTTCATTTGTGAACTCACAGGAAGCCAAATGTGGAAAAGAAATGAGGATTAATCAACATAGTAATACAGTGAATCTTCCTGGGAACTGGCTGGAGACAAGGTTTGAGGCAAAAAGGATAACCCAAATTTGTACATCCATCAACTATTATCTAGTGAAATCTCGATAGGAGAGAAAGAAGGAAGGAGGCAGTGTGTTACCAAGTCACTTTAGTTACTTCCTAGGTGTGAGACTCACCAATGCTAAATGAGGATATCAATGCCCATCTCACAAGGTTACTGTGAGAACAAAATAGCTGTAAGTGTATAAAGTGCTGTGTCTGTAGTAAATCATCAATAAATGAGGGCTACTTCTTAATAGAGGGAAGAAAACCCTTTCAGAGTGTTGTTTTAAAAGAAATAGGAGCTTTCAAAAGCAAACAATATTTATTCTAAGATGTAGGAATATCACAGGAGAGAGAGAGAGAGAGATTCCCTCCGTTCTTTTGGAGATTGGAGATTCTCTCCAATATTTGTTGATAAAATGTATCAACAAATGTTGGCTAACATCAAAATGAAAGTAAAACTTACTTACTATCGGGTTGAGTAGAAAGTAAGACCTAAACAACTGTAACATTGCAATAAGGAGGACTGCATTTTAGCATCAGATTTCCACTTGCCCTGTGAGCACCTGCCAATCCCTGGGTTTTGGGTAAAGTGGGTCAGGAGGCCAGGTCTTAGGCAAAAGCTAGGCAGCAGGAGGTATCAAACCCTGGAAGGCTGGAATTCTAGAAGGTAGGTACTCTCCTAGAATTAGGAGGGGAAAATTCCACCAGGCATAGAGGCACTGAAGCTAGGTATGGGTCTCAGCTTGGGTCTCAGGGTTAAAGGGCAAAAAGGAATATTAACTGCAAATGAGCACTACTGTGGGTTTAAAGAAGAAATCTACACTACTACTTTATGGCCTAACAAACTTCAATCTAAATTTTAATGTGTTTCCAGGTAGGTAATACTTCAGGCAGTTGGTAAAACCACCAAATGCAAATCTTCCCAGAGAAATGTTTTAATTCTGGTTTCAAGGCATTACTACACTTAGAGTTCCAAGGGACATTAGCTCAAAATAAAACATGTCAAAAACAAAACTAAAACAAGTGAACAAAAGCAAGAGTCAGTAGATTTTTAAAAATTTGAATCAGAACAACAAAACCTGAAGGTATTGAAATCATCAGATACAGAATATAAAATGGGTACTTATAATATGTTTAAAGAAATAAAGGAGGACACTGAAAGTATATAACAGGCAGAAAGGACTGTCAAAATGAACCACACAAACTTGAAAAATAACCAAATAGAATTTCCAGCAATGAAAAGTGTAATAAATAAAATATGAACTTGTTGCTATTTAAACAGCAAGATTAGACATGACTAAAAAAAAAAAAAGATTTAAAAATAAATGAGCTAAGTATCTAACCTTATAAGCTGGAAAAAAATTGGATAAACCCACAAAAGTGTAGAAAGAGATAAAGAACAGAAGTTAAATAAAAAATAAAACTATAATAGAGGATCGGCAAAGCCAAAAGATATTTCCTATATAGGTTACTAAAATAGACACAAGTTTAGCAAGAGCAAGAAGAACAAATAAACACTAGCTATGTAAAGGGGAAATAACTATGGGTATGGGAGAAGGCAATTTTATGGCTTTACCACTAAAAACTTGGGTAAGATGGAAAAATTCCTAGAATATAAATTATCAAAATTGATCAAAAACCTTGAATGATTCCCAAACCATAAGATAAATCGAATCAATAATTTTTAAATGACTAATATAAAGAAAACACAATCCTAGAGAGCTTAAAGGTGAATTCTACCAAATGTTTAAGGAAAAGATAATCACAAACTTAAAACTGATTACAAAAGCAGACAAAAGGATTGAAGAATGGGAAATCACAGCCCAATCTCACTCCTAAACATGGGTAAAGACTAAAATTAATGTCAAGCAACAATGAAATGGATAAATTTTTAATTTGCATTTCCCTGATGACTAATGATGCTGAGTATCTTTTCATTGGTCATTATTTTTTCTTCTTCTATAAACTGTCTATTTAAATCCGTTGTCCTTCTTTTGTTGGGTTGTTTTGTTATTGAATTCTAAGAGTCAAGAGTTCTTTTCTCTTGATGTGACTCCTGATATATGAAACATAAATATTTTCTCCCACTCTGGGATTAGTGTCCACTTTCACTGTGGTATATTCCAAAGAACAAGTTTTTTTTTATAGAGTCCAAAACGTCAGCTTTTTTCTTTTATAGTTTGTGCTTCTGATGTCCTACGAAATCTAGCCTATCCTAAGGTTAGGGAATCCTTTGGTTCTAGTACATGGTGTAAGGTAAGGAACAGGGTTCATTTTTTCCTCCATATGAATATTCATTTACCCTCATTTGTTAAAAAGACTTCCTTTTCCTCATTTAAGTGCCATCTCACCTTTACCTAAAATTAGCCATATCTGAATTGTCTCTATTCTGTTTCATTGATCTATATGTCCATCCTTTTAATACCACAGTCTTACTATATTTTATAGTCTTGAAATCACATACACAAATACCTCCAGCTTTGTTCTTCTGAGTTTTTTCTAGTCATTTACTTTTTCCATACACATTTTAGAGTCAACTCATCAGGCTGGACGTGGTGGCTCATGCCTGTAATCCCAACACTTTGGGAGTCCAAGTCAGGACATAACTTGAAACTAGCAGTTTTGAGACTAGCCTGAGCAACATAGTGAGACTTGGTCTCAAGAAAAAAATAAAAGAGGAAACAAAGAGGAAAGAAAAGAAAAGGAAAAGAAAAGAAAAGAGAAAGAAGAGAAAAGAAAAGAAAAAGAAGAGAAAAGAAAAGAAAAGAGCCGGGTTTGGCGGTCCCAGCTACTCAAGAGGCTGAAATGGGAGGATCTCTTGAGTCCAGGAGTTGGAGCTTACAGTGAGCTATGATTTTGCAACTGCATTCCAGCCTGGGAGTCAGAGCGAGACTCTGACTAAAAAAAAAAAAAAAAAAAAAGATTAAAACTTCAACATCAATTTCTACACACAAAAAATATCTGCAGAGGCCAGGCGCGGTGGCTCACGCCTGTAATCCCAGCACTTTGGGAGGCCAAGGCAGGTGGATCACGAGGTCAGGAGATCGAGACCATCCTGGCTAACACAGTGAAACCCCGTCTCTACTAAAAATACAAAAATTAGCCGGGTGCAGTGGTGGTCGCCTGTAGTCCCAGCTACTCGGGAGGCCAAGGCAGGAGAACAGCGTGAACCCAGGAGGTGGAGCTTGCAGTGAGCCGAGATCGCGCCACTGCACTCCAGCCTGGGCAACAGAGCGAAACTCTGCCTCAAAATAATAATAATAATAATAATAATAATAATAATAATAATAATAATAATAATTAGCTGGGCGTGGTGGCAGGTGCCTGCAGTCCCAGCTACTCAGGAGGCTGAGACAGGAGAATGGCATGAACCTGGGAGGTGGAGCTTGCAGTGAGCCTAGATAGCGCCACAGCACTCCAGCCTGGGCAACAGAGCAAGACTCCATAAAAAAAAAAAAAAAAGAAAAACTGCAGAAATTTTTTATTTTCATTAGGATTATGTTGACACTACACAACAATACTGGAGAGAACTAACATCTTAACCATATTGAGTCTTCCACTCCATAAGCATGACATATCTCCTCTATTTATTTCGGGTCTTTTTAAATTTCTTTCAGTAGTGTTGTCTAGCCTTTAGTGTGCAGATATTCCACATATTTCATTAACTGACCTAATGCTAACCACACAAGTTTCAGTTTATTAGCATATCTTGCTTGGAAAGTGGGAGTAGTTCAGGAGCCTAGAATAGGATTTGTGAATATGTGAGATACAATCCAATTTTAACATTTTGTTCCCATACAACTATACTGATGCTATCTTATTGTATTAACGCAATTCCTCAATGATGACATAAAAGTAATCTAAGAACCCTGATAAATTATTTCTCCTGCAAATGCTTTCAACTGAAATGGAAATTTACTTCACACTGAAAATCTAGTCAAGTAGAAAAGGCATATAATCACTCTAAATAATTTGACTACTTAGGTTATCTCTTCTGTAGTTACCATGTCTTCTTGGGGACTAAATGCTTTCAAACTATTATAAGTTGACTATGTCTGGTGTGAAAGCTATATATTACAAAATTAAAATAAATCACATTTTGAAGAAAAAGTCAATTTTAAAACATATATTTATATAAATAATTTGAGAATCAATTTCTATTTCAATACAGACAGTAGTGAAGGTAAGCTCACTATATCACATAAAAAAAAACTAGTAAATTAAAAGTAGTGGGAATCAATCATTTAATGAGTCAGTTCACTATTCCTCAGTGACATCTCATAGATCAATTAGGTTTGTGTTTGGTTTTTTTATCCTGTTGTTAACAGGATTTAACTATTTTCTCACATAAAAAGTTTAGAAGTTAAATAGGATTTTTACAGTGACTGTACAATGTGAACAAAGTTTTAGACATCTTCCATCGTTGCATCCTGACATCCCTGGAATAAAATTTTTAACCTTGTAGTTGTCATATCCTGGTAATAAGACAGCAACTGCATCATAAGCTTACCCAAAACTAAAAAGAGAGAAGGATGAAGGACGATGGGCTAATGAGCATGCTAATGCAGTTACAAGAAAACAATCTTGTGACAATGCAGTCTGCTACAAGCAAAACAATGGCATTTCCAGAAATCCCTTGTACAAACTACTTCTTATTTCTTATAGCCAGAAGTGTATCATACAACCTCCCCTAGCTTCAAGGGAGTCAGGAAAGATGAATACTTTTTAGCTGTACACACTGCCTACCTAAACAGTTCTGAGATCTTTTAACAAGGAAGAAGATTCTGGATACTGGATAGCCACTAGGGTGTCTGCCAAAATATACTTTTAGATTGTAAACCTAGCTAAGATGAAATACACTAAAAGTTATCTTCAAAAAACAAAAGATAGCCTTACATAGTTAAAATACTAATTTTAATTACATTGAGAGAAAAATCTTTGAAACTATCATATCTTGTTATGTACAAAATATATCTTTAATGCAGCAAAAAACGGGCATTATCTTCCAAAGATTAAAAAGTTGAGGGTGGGGTAAGATAGGGAACTAGTATATATTTGAAAAATAGTAGGGCTAAAGCACGTCAAAGCCCTTCTTCAGTAACAGACTCCTACAACAGTAAATACCCATTCCTATGAAATAGCAACAAAAGTCAAATATGAGTAAGCATTTAATCACTGAAAATGCACAAGGCACAGTTATAAGCCTTTTTTTTTTTTTTTTTTTTTTTAAGAGATGGGGTTTCACTCTATTGCCCAGAGCTGGAGCAAAGTAGCTCAATCATAGCTCACAGCAGCCTTAAACTCCTGGGCTCAAATGATCTTCCTGCCTCAGCTTCCCAAGTAGCTGGGATTACAGAAATGAGCCACTACACTGGCCCTAAACTTTTTATATCATTTAAACAACATGACAACCCTGGAATGTGGGTCCCATTATCCCCTACAGTGAAGCTAAAGTGCTCAAAATCATGCAGCTAGCAAATTGTGACATTTGAATCTGAATTCAGGAAATCTGTTTCCAAAGCCTGTGCACTTAGCCACTATATGATATTCCCCTAAATTCCTCTTATACATAATCTGAATATATAAAGGTGCAAAAATGTATGTTCTTAATCTTTAACAAATCAATATTCTTGGGATAACCATAAAAATGAATAATGGAATTTTGCATATTCTGTTATGAGGGGTCTCAACGTGCTATGCCATCTTCCATTTGCAAATTTAATCTTCCAGGGATTTAAAGGAAGGGATTATACAGCAGAATTCAGAGAACTGTGTCTTGTTTCTCATAAAATCTAGAAATTGTTCATTTCTTAGAGACTCTTTAAAAAATAAAACATAATCTCTTATATTAATACAAAATAGAACTGTTACAAAGCATGTCATCTTCAGTAACTATGCCCTAGTAGAGTGTTTAATCTCTTCCTATAAAATGAAAATACTAAAGTATTATACTAAATACTAAAGTATTATATTAAAGTATGTTTCATTACAAAAAACAAACTATATGGTAAACTTCATCATACATACCCACTTAAATAAAGGTGAATTTTTAATAGGAAAGCAAAAATTCTAATAATATTGTCACCCTACAGTAGTACACACAAAATGACTGAAGCAATTTATCTACAATTATAAAACGCTTCAGTTGTATACTTGAGGAAAAATTCACAGTCAAAATTAATGCAAACACACATACCTTTACCTTTTAGTTTATCCTTATCTTATTAAATGTCATCTTAACAGGATACTCTAGTTGAATGTTAAATTCTCTCACAGAAAATGCCATGTTTAAGTTGATAGGAAACAACTACAAAGCTTTTTTGGGTTTTTATTTGTTAGTTTGTGTTTGTTTTTGTTTTTTTGAGATGGAGTTTCATTCTTGTTGCCCAGGCAGGAGTGTGATGACGCGATCTCAGCTCACTGCAGCCTCCACCTCCCAGGTTCAAGCAATTCTCCTGCCTCAGCCTCCTGAATAGCTGGGATTACAGGCTCCTGCCACCATGCCCAGCTAATTTTTTGTACTTTTAGTAGAGATGGGGTTTTGCCATCTTGGCCAGGCTGGTCTCGAACATCTGGCCTCAGGTGATCCGCTCACCTCAACCTCCCAAAGTGCTAGAATTACAGGCCTGAGCCACCATGCCCCGCCTACAAAGCTTTTTGATGAAGATTTCCTAGTTGCTGGAAAATTCCCTTTTTCTTATTGCCACAATAACTCTAAAAATGAAGAATAAAGATGATTCTGGGTAATAAATTCCTTTTCTAGCTTACATTAGTACTTGGCCTTAATTACTATCTTGGCACAGGGAAAAATATAACTTCTTTGCATGACCTCCAGTGTGCTTTTGGCTTTTAAAAAATAGTATGTGAAACATAAATAACTATTTAAAATATGACAATCTTTTACTTTTTTATAAGACCAGTCAAGTGCAGTATTGAGAAGAGGGAACAAGGAGAACAAGGAGTTCAATCTCTAATGACAAATCTCATTCTGACAGGAATGCATAATACAAAGTCAACATTTTCCACAAATGATGGTTCTCAGATAATCTGTTTTTCATCAAAACAAGATTACTGGATACAGAGATTATGGTTTTAACTGCCTCAGTGGAATGGGGTTTTTCTATTCTGCTTTAAATACATATAATACACTCTTTTCCAAACATCCCATTATACAAATGAAGTCCATTTCATTGTGTCCATTTATTTCTATATACAGAGAAGCTTAAGTGAATGGAACTGCTAACATGCTAAATATCACCTATATCAGCAAATAGAGATCAATTATGCATATCTGGAGAGACATATAATTCATATCAAAAACAGAATAATGCAACACATATTCATTGACCACTTGAAGATTTATATGTTTTTTCATTTCATCTCTAACAACTCTTTGAAATAAGTTTATAACATCCATTTATAGCATAAGAAACTAACACCTAATAATGAGCCTATCATAGAAGTGGATAGACCCAGATTCCAGCCCAGATCTAAAGCCCTCTTCTAGTCCACAAAACCACCAAAGAATTGAATAAACACTTGCTGATAATGTGATAAAAGGTAAACGTAGCAAATTAAGTAGTATAATCCCTTACCTTAAACACTTGTATACACTACTTAACCACTTAATACTGATTATATGTTTCTACAGTATCATCCACTGTGTTCGTTATTTAAATAAAAGTTTTATTTTTCATAACAATTAAAATAATATATATTCACAACTGAGAACTTTGAAAATAGATAAGAAAAAGAAAACATCTAACACCTTAGCCCCTTAAGTAATCTCCATTAATATTTTGGTACATTGTCTTAATCATTTTCCAAATATGTTTTCAGAATACAGGTAAAATTATACTTTACATATAATCTGTACATAAATTTTCACTTTATTATATAACGTACTATTTAAATTTTTTTAATGGCTCTTCACATGTAAGCACTAATCGTCAATGTCTTAATTGGACCATAGCTTTAATATTTAGAGAAACAAAATTTATTTTTGCTACTGCAAACAGTGCATCAATGTAGATATTTACAAAACAGAGATTCACCAGAGTACTTTCACTGCCCTAAAAATCCTCTGTGGTCTGCCTATTCATCCATTCCCATTTACCCACCAACCCCTGGTAACCACTAATCTTTTAATGATCCCCATACTTTCACCTTTAGCATTATTTTTTTAAGTTGCTAAATACCTTCCCCTAGGGATTTTATTTATTCTAATTTTTAGAAATTATTTTCCTTTATGGGCTAAACAGTTAAGTATGTTCTTAACATACAGCATGTTTCTTAAATGTTACTGATACATTTTATGTACCTAATATATACAAAATATCACCATTTCCACATATAATCAACATAACAAATTATTAATGGAATATTTTCCACTCATTTCCTTGTACTAAGTCTCAAAACTCCAGCATGTATTTTATACTTACAGCACATCTCACTTCAAATGCTAAATTTTCATCACAAATATTTGATCTATGTTTAGATTTCAAAAAATTTGTAGTTGAAAAAGTAGACTAACATATGAAAGTTATTTGAAACATACCTAAAAGCTTTCCAAAAGCAAAAAAAAATTGCTTCTCCTTTAATATTCACATTCACAGTAACAAAATTAGTTAATCTCTTTTAGAATAATTTATTTGACTTTAGAGTAATCAGTTATTGATTCTGCAGTTATCAGTTTCTAAACTACAGCCAAGTTAAGTAAATTCAGACCCTCTTATGTTAACTCTGTAGCATTAACATCAAATCCAAAAATGTACTGTATACATTAATACCAAAAAGGATTCTTCAAATTTACATTACTGTTTTTGGAGTCAATTTAGTTAACACTGCCAATAATAATTAAAATCTCATGCATAAATAATAGCATAGCATAATAGCTATTCATAATAGCATAATAGCATAATTGATGCTAAAAATGTCTAAAACCATTATTGTTTTTATTAGTAAAATATTTTAGTTTTAACAAAAATTTTTGTGACCATCTATGTCACAAATAAGCTATTTGTTTCTATGAAGCTTAAAATTTAACTTTGTTCATATGGAATGTGATATCAGGAAGAAAATGTCAATCATATTGACAATTTTTGTCCTAAATTACTGAATAACTGGCAAACATTCCTTTTTAAACCTCTGGTGTGTATGACTCTGATATTCACCAGGACTTGCCAAAAACATACAGAGAATTCCATATACCATTTACCCAGCTTCATCCATTGATAAGATCTTATATAACCACAGTACACTGTCAAAACCAAGAAACTGACATTGTTACAATATTATTAACTCCATTACAAAGAAACCACATGTGTAAATTCAAATAGCTATCACCACAATCAGAACTCAGAACTGTGCCATCACCATAAAGACACTCTCTCATATTAAGCCTTAACAGTCACACTCTGACCTCAACCTTAGCTCTTGGCAAACACAAATCTGTCTTAATTGCTATAATTTTGTCACTATGAGAATGTCATATAAATGGAATCATAGAGTATGCAACCCTTTGAAGGTACATTTTTTTAAGTAGCATCATGCCCTTGAGATCAATCACTCTAAGTTGCTGGATGTATTAATCATTTACTCCTTTTTGTTTCTGAGTAGTAGTCCACAGTTTTTTCTTCTATGCACCTACTGAAGGATATTTGGATTGCTTCCAGTTTATGCTATTAGAAATAAAGCTTTTTATAAACATCCATGTAAAAGCTATTATGTGAACAGAAGCTTTCACTTCTGTAGGGTAAAAACACAGGAATGTGATGGCTGGGTCATATATTAAGTATATGTTTAACTTTATAAGAAAAGTCCAAATTTTTCTCCAAGTGGGTGTGCCATTTTACATTCTAACCAGCAATGTATGAGAGATGCAGATCCACATCCTTGGCATCACTTGGTATTAGCAGTAATTTTTATTTCAGTCATTCTAACAGGTATATATTAGTATCTCATTGTAGCAATTATTTGCATTACTCTATTGGCTAATGATGTAGAAAAATCTTTTCATGTGCTTACTGGCTAGCCACATATCCTCCTTGTCCCTATTCAAGTATTTTGCCCAACAACAACAACTGAGTTGTTGTATTGCTGTTCCATTTACAGAGTTCCATAAATATTCTAGATACAAATCTTTTGATGGATATATAATTTTCAAATATTTTCTTCCAGTATATGGCTTACCTTTTCATCCTTTTAACAGGGTCATTCAAGAACAAAAATTTTGGTTTTGATAGAAGTCCAATGTATTGCCTTTTTACTCTATGGATCATTTCCTTTAGTGTCATGTCTCCACTTAAGACTAGGTCATGAACGTTTTCTCCTAAAATTTTCTTCCGAAAGTTTTAGTTTTACATGTTACATTTGAGCCTATAATCCATTTTGAGTTAACTTTTTATAAAAAGGATGATACTTAGGCAGGGTTTTTTTTTCCTTTTGCCTATGAATATCCAACTATTCCAACACCATTTGCTGAAAAGACTATCGTTCCTCTACTTAACTGCTTTTGTACCTTTGTCAAAAATCAGTTGTGCATACCTGTGTGAATCTACATCTCAGGCTCTATCTTGGTCCCTTTAAGTGTCTATCCCTCTGCCAGTACCACTCTGCCTTGATTACTGTACAGTAAGTGTTAAAATTAGATCGAGTGATTCTTCCAACTTTATTATTCTTTTCAAAATTGTTTAACCGTTTTAGTTCTTTTGCATTCCCCTAGAAATTTTATTTTTAATTTAAAAAAATAATTTCAACTTTCCCTATAAATTTTAGAATCAGCTTGTCTATATCTAAAAGAATCCTGCCAGGAATGTTTTAGGAATTACATTAAATATACAGATCAACAGTCTGGATAGAACAAATATTTTTAATATGTCTTTTCTAATCCGTGAGCATACTGCCTCTCCATTACTTAGGTCTTTTTTAATTAGCATTTTGCAGTTTTCAATATACAGATCTTGTGCATGTTCTGTTGGATTTATGCCCAAGTGTTTCTTTGTTTTCCTTCTTCCTTTTTTTTTTTTTTTTTTGGTAGAAATGGGATCTTGCTATGTTGCCCAGGCTGATCTCAAACTCCTGGGCTCAAGCAGTCTTCCTGCCTCAGCCTCCCAAAGTACTGACAAGCATGAGACACTGTGCCTGGCCTCATTTTTTCTTGAGCAACTAATAAATGGTACTGTGTTCTAAATTTTAGTTTTCAATTATTCATTGTTATTTGTGGAAATATGAATGTGTGTGTGTGTTTGTGTGTGTATGTGTGTGTCTGTGGGTATGTGTTTGGATATCTGCAACCACAAACTTGTTTATTAATTCTAAAAGGTTTCTTTTCAAACTCTAGTGTCTTCTTGTTTGTTGATTCCTTGAGATCTCCTATGCAGCCAACCATATAATCTGCAAACAGGAAGAGTTTTATTTATTCCTTTCTATCTGTATATCTCTCGTTTTCTTGCTTTACTCCATTGGTTAAATCTTCTAATATTGTGTTGATAGGAGTGTTGAGAGCTAACATCCTTGCCTTGTTCACAAAAGCAGACTGTCTATCATCATTACCACATTTGCTGTGGGTTTTTATAAATATCCTTTATCAAGCTGAGGAAGTTTGCTTCTACTGCTAGTTTACTGAGAGTTGTTATCATGAATGGGTGCTGAATTTTCTAAAATACTTTCCTGAATCAACTAATGTCATCAAGTGGTTTTTCTTCTTTAGAATGTTAATATAATGGATTATACTAATTGATTTTCAAATACTGAACCATCCTTGTATTACCAGAATAAACCCCACTGGCCATGGTATATTATTATTTTTATATATTGATCAAGTTGTTAATACCTTATTGAGGATGTTTGTGTCTATAGTCACAAACATAAGAGATACTCCAGATTTTTTTCTTTTTGTACTGTCTTTGTCTAATTTTGATATCAAGGTAATAGCAGCCTCATAAGATGAATTAGGAAGTATTCCCTCCTCATCCATTTTCTAGAAGACTCTGTATAAAACTAGTGTTATTTATTTGCCTGGATAGTTCTTTTTGGAAGGATTTTAATTATAAATTCAATTATGTTAACAGTTGCAGGATTTTCAGATTATCTATTTTGTCTTGGGTGAGTTTTGACAATTTATGGTTTTCTAGAATTTGACCTATTCATCTTAAACTATCATGTATGTAAAGTTGTTTACAGTATTTTCTTTTTGCCTGCTTAATGTCTGTGGTGATATCTCTTTCTTTACTCTTGATAAATTGGTAATTAGTATTTTCCCTCATTTTCTTTTTCAGTTTTGGTAGGTGTTTATCAATTTTATTAATCTTTTATAAACCAGTTTTTGCTTTGATTTTCCCTATTGCTTTTCTATTTTTTAAATTTCATTAATTTCTGCTCTTCATTTTTTCCTTCATTCTGCTTGCTTTGGATTATTATTATTATTTTTTTTTTACAGAGTCTCACTGTGATGTCCAGGCTGGAGTCCTTTTTTAGTTTCTTACAGTAGAGCAGGAGCTGCAATCATTGATTTGAAACCTTGCTTTTTTTCCTATTATTAGGACTTAAAGCATACATTTCCCTTTCAACAATGCTTTTGCAGTATCCCACAAATTTTAATATATTTTCATTTAAATTCATTTTGATATAGCTTTTATTTCTCTTACAGTTTCCTCTTTGACACAGATCATTTAGTAGTGGGTTAATTTTTCAGGTTTTCTTGTTTTCTTTTTTTCTTGTTAGTGATTTTTAATTTGTTTCCATTATGGTTAGAATATCCTTTGTATGACTTCAATTATTACAAACTTGTCGAATTTGTTCTATGAACTAAGATATTGTCTATCTTGGTGAATGAACATGTTTGACTGAAAAGAATCTGTATCCTGATTTTATTAAGTATTCTATAAATTTCAATTAGAGCCTATGGTTGATTGCACTGTTCAGTTCTTCTCTATTCCTGATGACTATTGCCTAGTGGTTATACGGATTACTAAGAGAATGCGTTATTAATCCCCAACCATAACAGTGACTTTTTTCTCTTTTCTCCATTCAGTTCTTTCAGGTTTTGCTTTATTTATTTTGCACCTCTGTTAGATTAAGATTATTTTGTCTTCCCAGTGAACTGATCCTTCTATCATTTTATAATGTCCCTTTTTCCCTGGTAGTTTTCTTTGCTCTGATATTGAATTTTTCTGATATTAGTATAATTAATATTTATTTAAGGAAAAAGTATTCATAATATAATGACATGTTATTAACATAATTACCCTGTTTTTCTTCTATTAATGTTTGCATAGTATATATTTTTCTATCTGTAACCTTTAGCCTCCCTACATCATCATATAGACAAGTGAGTTTGAAGTGAGTTTCATATAAACAACATATAGTTTTTTTTTAATTGTACAATTCTGCTAAACTCTATCTTGTAATCACTCATATATTAGGATTTAAGTCTGCCATTTTGGTATTTACTTTTGTGTTTGCTCCCTCTATTTTACCTGCCTCTATTTCCCCTTTCTTATTTTTCTGTAGGTTACTTTAACATTTTTAGTGTTCTATTTTGATTTTACAGTACTTTTTATTATATCACTTTAATATTTTAATGATTGCTCTAGAGATTGCAATATACATATGTAGCTGCTCAGCCTACCAGTATTAATTTTTCATTGCTGCTGTTGTTGTTTTTCGAGACAGAGTCTCGCTCTGTCACCCAGGCTGGAGTGCACTGGCGTCATCTCTGCTCACTGCAAGCTCTGCCTTCCGGGTTCATGCCATTCTCCTGCCTCAGCCTCTCGAGTAGCTTGGGAATACAGACACCCACCACCACGCCCGGCTAATTTTTTTGTATTTTTAGTAGAGACAGGGTCTCACCGTCTTAGCTAGGATGGTCTCAATCTCCTGACCTCGTGATCTGCCCGCCTCGGCCTCCCAAAGTGCTGGGATTACAGGCGTGAGCCACCGTGCCCAGCCGAATGTTTTAATACTTAAAATGGAATGTAGTTACCCTATTATAATTTATGTCCTTTTCCCTCTCCACTTTATAAATTTTTTTTTTTTTTTTTTTTTAGATGGAGTTTTGCTCTCATCGCCCAGGCTGGAGTGCAATGGCACAATCTTGGCTTACTGAAACCTCCGCCTCCCAGGTTCAAGTGATACTCCTGTTTCAGCCTCCCATGTAGCTGGGAATACAAGCATGCACCACCATGTCTAGCTAATTTTTCTATTTTTAGTAGAGACAGGGTTTCACCACATTGGCCAGGCTAGTCTTAAACTCCTGACCTCAGGTGATCTACCCACCTCGGCCTCCCAAAGTGCTGGGATTACAGGCATGAGCCACCACACCCAGCCAACAGTTTTCTTAAATATTAATTCAACATACACTGAGAACTGTATCAACATTATAATTTTTGCTTTGTATTATCAAACATAATTTTAAAAACAGAAGAGATAATTAATCTACCCTTTCCATTGCTTTCTTCATTCCTAATGTTCCAAGCATCCTGTTATCACTCCCTTTCTTTCTGAACAACTTCCTTTATAGTCATTCTTTTAGAACCAATCTGCTGTCAACAAATTTTCTTAGCTTTCCTCCTTCTGATATGGGTTGATTATCCATTCATTCTTGAAGCATATTTTTGCTGCATACACAATTCAGGGTAATCTGTTTTGTTTTTTTCTTTAAGCAGTTGAAAAATGATGGGATACTTCCTGTCTGCCATACTTTCTGATGAGAAACCTGTTACTCAAATTGCTGACACAGCTAATGTGTTAATGTCCTCTAGCTACCTTCAAGATTTCTTCTTTGGCTTTAATTTTCAGAATTTGGACTATGATGTGTCTGAGTATAGATTTCTTTGGGGTTTTCCCATTTGGAGTTCACTAAGCTTCCCGAATGTAAAACACTTATGTCTTCCGCCAAACTGGAAAATTTCAGCCATTATTTCTTAAAAAAAAAAAAAATTTTTTTTTGGCTCCACATCCTGTCCTCTCTATCTAGTATTCTGAGGCTACAGTGTTACATCTTACGTTATTGTTCCACAGGTCTCTGGAAGCAGAGCTCATTTTTTCTATTTTTCTCTCCATTATTTGTATTGGAGAATTTCTAGTGAGCTATCTTCAAATTGACCTGTTCATTTCTCTATAATTTCTATAGGCTGCTATTGAGCCCATATAATATTTTTTTAATTTTGGTTATTATAGATTTCAGTTCTATCATTTTCATTTGGTTCTTTATAGTTTCTACTTTGTTCCTAAGGTCGTCTATGTTTTTGTTTGTTTCAAGAGTGTTTGTAATTGCTTGTTGAAGCATTTTTACAAAAGCTGTTTAAAAGTCTTTGTCAATCATTCCACATCTGTGTCATCTCAATATTGGCATCTGTTGAGTTTCTATTTTCCTGATTTTTCATATGACAAGTAATTTTGGGCCATATCCTGAACATTATTATACTATGACACTCCGGTTCCTATTTAAATCATCTATTTTAGCAAGTAGTCAACCTGCTTAAAACTGCAACCTTCTCATCTTTATGGGCTGTGGTTGAACATCAATCCAGTTACAAAAATCTCTGCAGTGCTTTTCTGATTTCCCTCATTTGTGTTATGTAGATGACGTAACTTCACCCTACTATCTCCTCAGTTTGAGTTTGGGTGGGGACAAGCACTGCCTCATTTTAGCAGGGCAAGGATGGAAGACAGGGTACTATCCCACAGGGTCTGCCTCACCAATGCAGCGGGGAAGGGAGGGTGGAAGTCAGAGTCTTCCCACAGGCTCAGCTGGGGAGAGTACAACAAGGAAAGTAGAAATCAAGAGTTCCAACCACAGGTTTCTCCATGGAAAGTTACCTCCTCCTTACTTCATATTCCACTGAGGTGGGGCACCACTTCATTACTATAGGGTAGGGGGTGAAAGTTTAATTTTCTGGGTTCCTCCCTGCCACCCACCCCTACATTTTTCCAGATTTTTCCAGTTCATTCTACAGACTCCACTGGAGAGGGGCATCCCCTTGTTACTGTAGGAGGGGGAGGATGTATGTATAAAACAGTACTGGTTATGGATTCCACTGCTGAAATGCCTGTTAGGGTAGGAGAGAAATACAGCTTTTATTGTGCTGTTCTCTTAGAGAACAGTAAAGTATTACTAAAAGTTTCTGTCTTTTGGGGCTATCCTTTGGCTAGAGAGAACAGGCTTTCCTTGGCACTAATTTTCTTTTGTTTGTTGGTTTCTACCCACTAGCATTTCCAAGTTGTGTGCCTCTCTAGAGACCAGGTCAGGATATATGAAGGTACAGAAAGGAGAAAAAAAGAGAGAGAGAGAGAATTCATTTGATCCTTGAGCCCCCAAATCCCTTGGTAGTTCATTCTCTTTTTTCTGACTTTCAGAGTTTTCCAGTAGGTGAATTATGTGTTTTACCCAGGGCTTTTTGTTGTGATTAGTAGAAGTAAAGTAAAATGTGTTTACTCCATATCGTCCAGAGCCCAAACCCTGTCACTTACTTTTAGTGTAGATATTATGATTATTTCTACATCTTATCACTCTCTACTTTCTAAGTTTCCTGAGAAGTTTATTACTTTTTTTATTAGGTTACTATTACTTTTTTTTTTTTAAGAGACAAGGTCTCACTCTTTAGCCTCCCAAGTAGCTAGGACTACAGGCACACACCACCACACCCAACTAAATTTTTTATTTTGTGCAGAGATGGTGGCCCCCACGGTGGTTTCAAACTCCTGGCCTTAAGCAGTCCTCCTGCCTCAGCTTCCCAAAGCACTGGGATTACAGGTGTGAGCCATCATGCCTGGCTTTTATTAGATTTTCTATTAATTTTTTGGGCCAGCAAAGTGTCAGATATGACATATCCTTGAAGCTTAGTAGCTGTTAAAAACTGTTAACACAATTTATCGGCCTTTATACCCACCACTGGGTTCACAAAAGATAAAAATAAGTAAGTCTCAAGTTGGTTCATTTGTTCTGTAAATATCTGTTTTATAAAGCATCTGGGGACACAACAATGAGTAAGACAGCTAAGATCCCTGGTGTTATGTAACATATTCCAGTGACTGGAGGAGAGAAACTACAGGCATATGAATAATAATGTGTTCTCCTCAGGTTGAAAAAACTCAGTCTGCTATGTTTCAGTAAATATTAAGAACATATGTTTGATAAACTGCAAATATTCAGAAATCTAAAATGCATACTTAGCATAGTTTAATATTTTTACTTGGTACACTAAACTTTAATGATCCAATAAACCAGTAATCAACTACTTACCACATACAACTGTTTCCACAAACTTGCCCATTCTTGTAGAGTTGCTGTAACCTCAGTCACAATAGAATCTTCAAGTGGAACCACAGTTTCATACTGCCTAGAACCAGAGCCACAAAAGACAGCCACATTATCTCTGAAAAAAATCTCGGCAAACTGTCTCCTGTCTTTTTCTACTTGTTTAACTCAAATTTTAAATTTATGCAAATAAAAAAGAAGTATATCTAATTGATCAAAGACCTTTTTATAATGATATACTGCAACAGTGAAAGTAAACTGAATTAAAGTAAAGAGATTTGGGTTTTACTGTATGTCCTCAATTTTACTTTTATAAATGCTATCCTTAAAACACACTTTTTAAAGAACAGACTCTAAGCTTTTTTCCTTCAATGAAAAACCATGATACTACCCAAGTCTTGCTCGGATTAGTTTTTTTAAATTATTTATGACCTTTAACATTTTTCTGTTTGAAAGTTTGCTCATACCCTCAGTTAAAAAAAAAAATCTGGAAAAATGTGGGGGGTTGTGGAGGGGAGGAACCCACACAATTAAACTTTGAAAAGTTTAATGCATACTCCCTTATATTGGTATTGTATTTTCCTGCAACATAATGTCAGCAGAGGAATTCTAAGTCTGGTAGAGGAATTCTGAACCTGGTAACAGAAAGGTGCTTGGATTCTCTCTGACTACTTCATAAGCAGCATCCACTATAATGCCAGTCCCTGTGCTAACTGTCAAAAATTTATCAGTGAACAAAAAGGAACAGGATTTCTATCTTCAGAGAGCTCTTGGTCTGAATAGGGAATCAGACAGACATGGACAGTAATAAATCTAAAATGAAAATGAAAAGGTACTGATATGGTTTGGCTGTGTCCCCACTCAAATCTCATCTTGACTTGTAGCTCTCATAATTCCCATGTGTTGTGGCAGAGACCCAGTGAGAGGTAACTGAATCATCGGGGTGGGTCTTTCCCAGGCTGTTCTCATAATAGTGAATAAGTCTCACAAGATCTGATGGCTTTTTTAAAGAGGAGTTCCCCAGCACATGCTCTCTTGTCTGCTGCCATGTAAGATGTGACTTTGCTCCTCCTTTGCCTTCTGCCATGATTGTGAGGTCTCCCTAGCCACGTGGAACTGTGAGTCCATTAAATCTCTTCTTTATAAATTACCCAGTCTCAGATATGTCTTTATTAGCAGCATGAGAACAGACTAATACAAGTACAATGAAAGATTTTAGCTGTGTTATACAATTTACAATGAGCAGATCAATGAACTCTTCTCTGAAGAAATGTCAAGGCCCAATACATGCAAAAAAATCATGACATGAAAAGCGTGTGGGGAGGGAGAAAACCAGTTATGGTGCCACCTGCAAACGAGAAAAGTATGCAAGATGTCACTGAGTTGGAAAATAATTTCACACATCCAAGATGAAAAAAAGCTGGTATGACTGGGACCAGCTGTCATAGGACCTTTTCAAAAGACAGTAAAAATTCCAGATCTTAACACAAGTAACCTGAATGAAAAGTTACTGAAAGCACGGGGACTAACTTGATAATATTTCTATAATGTCCACACCAATGTTGAGGGTCAATAAAAACTTTCTATGACCAAAGACTTAATATACTGATATATTGAGGTAACTTATACCCGTTTATTAGCCAAGGGGAATATCATCCATCTGAAAAAAAAAAGTACAGGAAAATGTATTCCACAAAATTAGCATCAAGTATTATTTGTTTCCACAAGAAGACAGCTGACAAAGCACCACTGTGTTCAAAGATGACTCAGTGCAGTAAAATTGAGCATCAATGAATATATGTTATCTGATTATGTCTTACAGTTTTACTGTGTTCTTATTTTGTGTGACTTACCACAGCAGATTACAAAAAGTCACCTTGAAATAATGCAATGGCATTATCTATATCCAAAAAATTTACAAGCTCATTAATATAAAAGCTTTCATCAAGGGCTTGTTAAGAGTAAAATGTGACAAAGGTAATATCAGCAAGATGGCAGAAGAGGTGCTTTCTACTGTCATCTGCCCCCAAGAAGCATCAATTTTGACCACAACTTATGGACAAGAGTACCTTTGTGGGAGTCTAGGAATCCAGCAGAAAAGTTTCAGTACACCACTGAGGCAAAAAATCCAGAATAGATGCAGTGAAGAGGGTAAGAAGAAAGTTTCATTTTACCTGCATCACTCCTCCCACAAAGCAGTACAGCTCAACAAGAGAAACTCCATAACCCTCCAATTTCTCTCACAGCGGAAAGCAGAATGATTAGGCACTCGGCTCCACCAGCCATGTAAGACACTGCCCAAGAGACTCACTTTTCTCACCCCACCCCAAATATTGTGGTGATCAGCATGGCTGAGTATCTGGGGAAGATGGGAGCAGGAAAATAACTATGGTTTAATTTACTTTAATTTTTTGAAATAGGTCATATTGATCTTCTCAGATGAAAAGGAGTAAGCTAATGATAAATGTCATATCTGAGAAGAAAGTCATAATGACTTGCTACACAAATTCAAATTGAATGAGAAGACATCCTTTATTTCTTCAAGCTACTGGTTATAAGTTGAAATTTCTGAAGTTATTTCCATATACCACATCTTAAGAATGCTGCAGAGATAATTAGGAGATGTATAGAAACAATCAGGGAAATCACAATCTTAGTAACAAAACTTAAACATAAAGCACAAATAGGTGCTAAATGTGTGACATTAACTATAACATCTAATGTTCTAAAAAAGGAGGTTCACTGTAAACTGCTGCAGTCAGATAAAGATTCATGAAGAAAGTGAAGTTCCTAGAAGAGGCTTGGGTCTGAAAGGTAAGCAGGTGGAGAGAGAGCCCTAAACACTGTACTATGCTATAAAAAGTGGTATAGAGAAAATAATGAGCAAGGCATATTAAAGATAATTCATGCTACTGATGGCAGCAGCAGGCCGTCTGTAGTGGGGAGGCATGGGCGGTGGCAGCAGGAGTGGCTGCAGGAGCAGTGGTGAGTCTCCCGTGCCCTACCTCCAGGAGACAGCTGACTGCACCGCCGTCACCCTTACACAGCCGGGCATGACCCACCCCCAGGCCCGGAGCCTCTGTGGCCCCAGACCCTGTCCCCAAGTCACTGCCCTCTCCTGCCACTGCTGCAGGGAGGGTGAAGGGAGGAGGCAGTGCTTGGGGCCACGCTTCGGGGGAAGTGAGAGTGGTGCCCACTTCGGGGATCAGCCAGAGGTACGGTCGCCATGCCCACCCCACAGACAGCACTGGGTTCCTGGGCCTCTGCAAGAGGCTGTCTGCACAAGCCCGCCCAGGGTCGCATCCCCAGGGTCTGCCCCATAAGGGTCTGCACAGTATCACTCCCAATTGCCGGCCCGAGGCCTGTGATCCACTCCCAGAGGTGCCCACCCTGGGCAGGGCCCCAAGCCAGGTGAGGGGGAGCTCTGCGCTGCCCCTGAGCACTGGAGCCACCAAGGGAGCCTGGGGAGACGTTGCCTCTGCCCTGGACACTGGCCTGGGCCCAGCAAGGACCTGGGCTGGGGCCCAGGCTGTGAGGGAGTGCAGCGGGGCTGCATGCTCCAGGGGGCCAGGAGCAGGTAGCAGCCCCATCGTTTTGGGCACAGCTGCAGCTGCCCAAGTCAGGGTTGTGGACCTGGGTCTCCCTGGGCTCTTGTGGGCAGGGAGCAGGCAGAAGACTTGCACCAGTGAGGCTGCAGCCGCCCAAGGCGGGGGCTGTGGATCTGGACCTCTGCACTCACTACAAGGCTGTGAGATTTTAAATTTGACACTATGGAAATAGGGAAACATGAGTGATGTTAAAGGAGTGTTGTGTTTTACTAAGATTAATGCAGAAATGATATGCAAGACAAAGTAAAATATAATTTCCTTGGAGTTTAATCTATTAGGTCTTTAGCTACTTTAATCATTAAGATCTATAAAAAACTTAGAGTGTTCCTATTTTAAAGTTCTAAGACGTAGGACTTATGATAATTTGGCCTCAACTGCTGGTTTCCTCACTTCCTAGCTAAGCTACTTTGGTAAAGGTATTTGAACTCTCAAAGCCTTGCCTTCCTCATTGGAAGTAAGTGGATAATTCCACTATGAATCTGGGATACCAAAGTGTGATGTGGTAAGTGTGAAGTGTCAAATAAAATGATTAGTGTATAGGATATTTAATAAATGGTAGCTATTGTTGACTCTTAAACTTTAATTTTCATTGCTTAGAATTAAGCAAAGACTTTCTAGAATAAAATGTCAAAATCAGCTAGATTTTATATTGTTCTTTATATTTTTTACAGATGTCTTATCAAAATATCTCAGTAAGTTCTTATTTTGACATATTTCCTCAGCTCCAAAGACACAGCAATTATAGGTAAAATACAAATATTTTTGGGCTCCAAAATAAAATAAATATCTCAGCGTAGTAGCAACAGAACAACAACAACAAAAACACAGCAGTGAACCAGTGTGAAATCATAGGTCTTCTGGACTCTGAAGTCAAAAGCCAGCACTGGTGACTAGGAACTTAGAGGGATGACAAGGACAAAAAAGTGCTCAAAATGACATGAGAAGCAAGGCCAGATTCACTGGTTGAAGTTTCGGAAAAGAAGACCAACATGAGACACAACACCAATTGCTATTAAACCTCATTTGGGACTATGGTTTTTAGCAAGCTGCAGGACTAAGGAGACTGGACCTTAAGCAGCCCCCTCCCCACTTCAGCCAAGGGTCAGAATCTACCACAGCCCCAGTGTCACTGTGGGGAAGAAGCTCTAAAATGCTGTTGAAGGACCTGGTTCCACACTGGAGGTTAGGGGACAGACGGCAGTAACTGCTCAAGCACTAGACAGATATGCTCAGAGGCAGAAACAGAGAGAGGAAACAAAATAATCCACTTCTGAAAACCAAATTCTGCAACACATGAAGACTCTATAATGTTCAAAGGCTTAAAAATAACACAATGCTGTTCGACTTACAACAGAGTTACATCCTCATAAACCCACTGTAAGTTGAAAATATCATGAAGTCAAAGATGCATTTAACCTGCCAAACATCCATAGCTTAGCCTATCCTCCCTTAAATGTGCTCAGAACACTTATATTACCCTATGGTTTGGCAGAATCATCTAACAAAAAGTGTGTTTTATAGTAAAGTGCTAAATATTTCATATAACTTGTTGAACACTGTACTGACAGTAAAAAACACAATGGTTATACAGGTACCCAAAGTATGGTTTCTACTGAATGCATATGACTTTCGTACCACTGTAAAGTAGAAAAATCTTAAGGCAAACCATCATACACTGGGAACCATCTGTAAATTCTTTTCAGATAAAATTAATTTTATGAAATTGCCTGATAAACATTTTTAAATGTTTAAGATGCTTAGAGAAATGAAAAGAATCACTTCCATTTCAGAAAGGAAAAAGTATGAAACAAAACCAAGCACAAATAAAACAAGAACCAATAATATGCAATAGAATCAACTAGGAAACTTGCAAACGAAAACTATTAACACCCAAGTGTCCATCAATAGATGAATGGAAAAATTAAATGTGGTATATATAAGTGCAATGGAATATTATTCAACCTTAAAAAGGAATGAAATTCTAATACATTCTACAACATAGATGAATCATGAAAGCACTATGCTAGTGAAATATGCCAGATACAAAAAGACAAATGTCATTATTCCATTTATATTAGGTACCTAGAATATGAAAATTCATAGAGACAGAAAATAGAATAGAGATTACCAGGGGCTGGGTAGAGGGAGAATGGGGAGTAACTGTTTAACAGGGACAAAGATTCTTTTGGCGATAATGAAAAAGTTCTGGAGATGAATTGTGATGATGGCTGCACAACATTGTGAATGTATTTGATGCCACTGGATTGTACACTTAAAGAGGTGAAATGGTAAACTTTATTATATATATATATATATATATATATATCATCACAATAAAATCACACAAAAATATTGCCAGTGAAAAAAGGAAACCTCAATAGAGAGGATACATGTTAGAAAGAATTCAAAGAAAACAGCTGCAAGACAGTACTGATGAAATCTCTCTAGAATGCAGGTCAGGGGAAAAAAACAGTCCCAAAGTATCTACGAGTACTTAAGAGTACATGGGAGAGAGGTGGAAAAACTCTCGTCTACTGCTAATAGGAATCTCAAAAGAAGTAAACGGCAGTGTTACAGACAATTGTGGGATTATTTTTTTCCTTCTCTGTTCTGCCTCATAATCCCCTTCCCCTAGGCAGAATGTAGAGACACACTGTCTTCCATTAGGTGAGTGTAAAATGATGGATACTTGATTTATCACTCTTCCTGCATCTGGGGAACACAGGGCTATGACCTAAGCTCCTTTCAACCCAGACTTAGAAAAGGAAACCAATGACTTCTAGAAGCAAAGACTGAAAAAACGACAACTTGGTAGCAGCTACAGTCAATTTCCAGAGACAGTAGCCTTTTTTAAAATTTCCCATGTAGTACTTATTTTTATTTTGATTTTTTATGGATGTATAATAGTTGTACATATTTATGGGGTACACGTAATATTCTGATATAAGCACACAATGTGTAATGAGAAAATCTTGGTAAATGGAATATCCATCACCTCAAATATTTATGATTTCTTTGTATTGAGAACATTCTAAATCTTCTCTTCTAGCTATTTTGAAATATACAATAAATTATTGTTAGCTATAGACATCCTGTTGTGCTATCAAACGACTAGATCTTATTCTATCTAGCGGTATTTCGGTACCCACTAACCAATCCCTCCTCATCCCCCACTCCCCACTGCCCTGTGGGAGCATCCAGTTTTAAGTCAGTGAGGGGAAGGAAGGAGGCAGAAATAAATACTGTAGTCAAGGTATGTTTCACTGAGAAGATTTCAGAAAAGGCCTGAAGGAAGTGACAAAGCTAATCCCAAGCATAAGAAACAATAGAAGCCTCAAGGCAGGAGCATACCTGAAATGACTGAATAAAAGCAAGAAAACCAGTGTCACTGAAGGTTACAGGGTGACAGGAAGTCACATCATAAAACTTGTAAGCCTTTGTAAGAACTTCAATGTTTGCTCTGTGTGAGACGGGAGTCGCTAGAAGGTTTTAAGCAGAGGAGTAACATGATCTAACATATTTTTAAAGAACAACTCTGGCAGTTATGTTGCACTATAAACTGCAAGGGAACATGGATAGAAACAGGGAGACCAGTTAGAAGGTGGTGCTGTAACACAGGCAAGAAACTATAACCCCAGAATGTACTTGTTTTTCATTCCATGACATAATGTGACAATTTAGGACACTGAGTTTCTCCTTCTTCTTCTCAGCTGTCTAATGCTGTACCAACTCCACCCAACAGTCCATAACGTGCTCACATCTTTCCTACTGTTCCTTAGCAGCTGACTCTCAACAACTCTCACCATCTTGCTATAGTGGGCACCCATGCTAATTCCCTTTCAAGTCCCACTTTCATCTAACTGAAGCCCCAGATCTCTAACCCTCTCTGGTTATGATAATGTCAAGGTTCCTGTAACACTTATAAATAAAATATGCATAACTAGAAGCACAGTCTAATATTGTCTCCATCCTAGAGAAAAGCATGAGACTGAGTTTGAGAAAAGCTTTGGTAAATAGACCAAGAATGAGGTCATAGAATGAATTAAATAAATGGATGAACAAACGAATGAACAAATTAATAGGCAAACTTTTTTAAAAAACCCTTGGCCTGTATGCTCAAAAGCAAGAAATCTTCCAGGTACTGTTGATCTACTGATTCTCCCTTTAACTAAGAGTTAACAAATCTAGCAGATGTAGAATGGATATATAAAAATTGGTTACATGAATTGGAATTATCTTGGCATACCCAACTAAATTAATGTCAAGAGACTGCATCAGGGGAGGAGAGAAGCACTCGGGCACAAAGCACCTGTCCAAGGGTTATATCACAAGCCAGCTGCCAAAATGGCCTGCTATAACTTTGGGAGGCCAAGGTGGGTGGAGCACTTGAGGTCAGGAGTTTGATACCAGCCTGGCCGACATGGTAAAACCCTATCTCTACTAAAAATACAAAAGTTAGCCAGGCTTGGTGGTGCGTGCCTTGTAATCCCAGCTACTCAGGAGGCTGAGGCAGGAGAATCACTTGAACCCGGGAGGCAGAGGTAGCAGTAAGCCAAGATTGTGTCATTTGCACTCCAGCCTGGGCGACAGAGTGAGACTCTGTCTCAAAAAAAAAAAAAAAAAAAAAAAAGACTAGTTTTACCTAGTAGCTGCTGAAATGAACTGCCATGACTTTAAGAACAGTTTTACCTACCGCCATCACTCACCCAACCAATCAGAGCTTGCCAGCTCCCAAAAACTTCACTAGTGTTAGTAAGTTTTCTTTCAAAACAATATGTAACATTTCTCTAATAAAACCCCAACCTTCTGTTTCTTCTTCGGACACAAAGAAGACTACCCTGTCTGTGTGTATGCCCTGAATGGCCATTCTGCTTTCCTAAATAAAACTTTTTTTTTTTAAGGAGGCAGAGTCTTGCTATGTTTCCCAGTCTGGAGAGCAGTGCCTATTCACAGGCATGATCATAGTGCACTATGGCCTCAAACTCCTTGGCTCAAGCAATCCTCCTGCCTCAGCCTCCCGAGGACCCAAGACTACAGGTATGTGCCAATATGCCTGGCCTTCCAAATAAAATGCTTTGTCTAGAGATTTGTCATTTATTTGACTTTGACAGATGGATGAGACAATCTGATATACATAAAATACTACTTGCAAGAATAATATCTAATCAGGAAACCAGGACTGCAAAAAGCTTAATGCTCACTTTTTTGATGCTCATGCAAGAGTTCATTTTCTCTTTCAGCTTCATCACTCATATAGCCAAAAATCAAACTCAAGTTTTGATCCTAAGGATTGCTGAATTACAAGATCAGTTGAATTCATGGCCTTTTCATTAAAATTAAGATAAAAGGCAGGGTAGTGACATAAAAATAACAGTAACCTGTGAATCAGAATGGAGATAGAATAAAGACATGGGATAACTTAGGAAAGTCTGAGCTCCACCCCTAGTAAACCTCCTTTTGGCATCAGAAAAAGTCCCTCCTTCTGGGCTGATGAGGGTATCCTTGCCTTGCTTACATGCTGTGAGACTACATCACCTGAGTGAATTATCTTGCAAAGAGAAGCCCATTTTCCTTAGACCATACACCACCCGCATAATTGTCCCCAGTGTCCTGTAAATTCAATCTGTTTACTTTCCCAGCCATCCTGAAAAGAATGCTGTGAAAGAAATAGCAGCTATAGAGGAGCTCAACTCCATGAACTTTCCCTCACCAAGGCTGATCTGACACCACAACTGCTGAATCAGAACTGACCGGTAGCAGTGGGCAACCCTGAGACTTGGATGTGGTACACATATTCCAAGTGGATTAGCCAACTGCCTACAGGCAAGTTCATACTTTTGACCCCATTCATGACAAAGAGGATGAGATTTGGACTTACTTTCCCTGGCTGCTTCATTTCTGGAAACATAACCTTCAGTAGACTATTCAATACCCTATTTGCCATAACACTGTTGCATATAAAACTGGAATATGAGCAAGGAACTCATTTTAAACACAAAGAAGGAAGATAAGGAGCTGACACTCACAGATTAACTGATCTTACTAATTACTTCATCATCCAGAGCAACAGACTGTATAGAACAATAGACAAGACTATAGAAGACTTTGTTATGCTAGCTTTTTTAATGATGGGGCAATCCACAAATTGCGACAATTATTCTGAACCAGTAACTAATATAAAGTTATGTTTCTCCCATAACCACAATACATGGGTCCAGAAACATGAAGTAGAAATGTAAAAGACAACTTCTCATTCTCACACCTAATGACTCACTTGCAAATTTTTTGCTTTCTATCTTTGAGGACTCTGGCTCTGCTAATTTAGAATTCAAGGGAAACATGCATACACAGATAACAATATGATTCAATTATATTGAAGCTGAGATTCCCATGAGGCCATTTCAGGTTCAGGTTACCCCTGCCACTGAACAAACAAACAAACAAACAAACAAAAACAGCAGCAGTTTTGGCATTGGTTGGCATGATTTTTACAAGTCTTCAACAGAAGTACTTTTGGTGCTATACAACAGAGTAGGAAGAAGCATGAATGGAACCCAAAAGATCCCCAGGGAATATCATAATACTATCATGCTCTGTGGTAAAAATTAGTGGAAGACTACAGCATCCCTCTGCACAGTAAACCATCAAGGGCTCAAATACCACAGCTAAGTAGTACCTGGCTAAGGCAAAGAAATTATAAAATGGGAGGTAAAGTAAGGAAATCATTAACACAAATTAATTTCTGTGACCAGGTAGAGAAACATGTCTGTAATGTCCATAATATATTATTCCTTGCTATGTCATGTATATATTTATAAATTTAACTTCATTGACTTTTCCCCTCCTCCATTCCCCAGTGATTGTTTCCCCACCTATTTTTAAAAAGGTAGTGATAAGGTTTAGCTTTACACTAAAATCTACAATTTAGAGAAGAGCAAAAGAGAAACATTATAAAACTAAAGGAGAATATTCGTGAGATTATCAATTAGTAAATTTATACTAAGTATTAAATATTGTGGAATGCAGCTAAGGCATTATATAGAGGGAATTCCATAATATTCAATTCTTGCATGACAAAAGACTAAAAATAAAAACCACTATGGAAAATAGCGTGGAGTGTCCTTAAAGAACTAAAAGTAGAACTACCATTGATCCACCAATCCCACTACTGGGAATCTATGCAGAGGAAAAGAAGTCATTATACAAAAAAAGATGCTTGCACACACATGTCTATAGGAGCACAATTTGCAATTGCAAAAATGTGGAACCAAGCTACATGCCCATCAATCAACAACTGGATAAAGAAACTGTGGTGTATATATATATGATGGAAGACTACTCAGACATAAAAAAGAATGAATTGATGGCATTCACAGCAACCTGGATGAGACTGAAGTCTATTATTCTAAGTGAAGTAACTCAGAAATGGAAAACCAAGAATAGTATGTTCTCATTCATAAGTGGGACTAAGCTATGAGGATGAAAAGGCTTAAGAATGATACAATGGACTTTGGGGACTCGGGGAAAAGGTGGGAAGGGGGAGAGGCATAAAAACACAACAAATTGGGTGCAGTGTATACTGCTTGGGTGATGGGTACACCAAAATCTCACAAATCACCACTAGAGAACTTTCTTATGTAACCAAACCCCACCTGTTCCCAACAACCTATGGAGAGAAAAAAATTAAAAAAAAAAAAAAGACTAAAAATAAACTGGCTAAGTGCATAAACCTTAGAATTGACAAGAACAAAAAACAAAAGTACAAAACTTCAGAGGTGGAGGAGGTTCCAAGATGGCCAAAAAGGAACAGCTCCAGTCTACAGCTCCCAGCGTGAGCAACGCAGAAGACAGGTGATTTCTGCATTTCCAATTGAGGTACCGGGTTCATCTCACTGGGGCTTGTCAGACAGTGGGTGCAGCCCACGAAGCAGGGCGGGGCATTGCCCCACGTGGGAAGCGCAAGGGGTCGGGGAATTCCCTTTCCTGGCCAAGGGAAGCCATGACAGACAGTAACTGGAAAATTGGACACTCCCACCCTAATACAATGCTTTTCCAACAGTCTTAGCAAACAGCACACCAGGAGATTATATCCCATGCCTGGCTCAGGGGGTCCTACACCCACGGAGCCTCGATCACTGCTAGCACAGCAGTCTGAGATCAAACTGCAAGGAGGCAGTGAGGCCAGGGGAGGGGCGTCTGCCATTGCTGAGGCTTGAGTAGATGAACAAAGTGGCCAGGAAGCTTGAACTGGGTAGAGCCCATGGCAGCTCAAGGAGGCCTGCCTGCCTCTGTAGACTCCACCTCTGCGGGAAAGGCATACCTGAACAAAAGGCAGCAGAAACTTCTGCAGACTTAAACGTCCCTGTCTGACAGCTTTGAAGAGAGAAGTGGTTCTCCCAGCACAGAGTTTGAGACCTGAAAATGGACAGACTGCCTCCTCAAGTGGGTCCTTTACCGCTGAGTAGCCTAACTGGGAGATACCTCCCAGTAAGGGCTGACTGACACCGAATACAGCCAGGTGCCCCTCTGAGATGAAGCTTCCAGAGGAAGGATTGGGCAGCAACATTTGCCGTTCTGCAATATTTGCTGTTCTGCAGCCTCCGCTGGTGATACCCAGGCAAACAGGGTCTGGAGTGGACCTCCAGCAAACTCCAACAGACCTGCAGCTGAGGGTCCTGACTGCTGGAAGGAAAACTAACAAACAGAAAGGACATCCACACCAAAACTCCAGCTGTATGTCACCATCATCAAAGACCAAGGCAGATAAAACCACCAAGATGGGAAGAAACCAGAGCAGAAAAGCTGAAAATTCTAAAAATCAGAGCACCTCTTCTCCACCAAAGGAATGCAGCTCCTCGCTAGCAACGGAACAAAGCTGGATGGAGAATGACTTTGACGAGTTGAGAGAAGAAGGTTTGAGACGATCAGTAATAACAAACTTCTTCGAGCTAAAGGAGGATGTTCAAACGCATCGCAAAGAAGCTAAAAACCTTGAAAAAAGATTAGACGAATGGCTAACTAGAATAAACAGCATAGAGAAGACCTTAAATAACCTGATGGAGCTGAAAACCACGCCACAAGAACTACGTGACACATGCACAAGCTTCAGCAGCCAATTTGATCAAGTGGAAGAAAGGGTATCAGTGACTGAAGATCAACTGAATGAAATGAAGCAGAAGAGAAGTTAGAGAAAAAAGAGTAAAAAGAAATGAACAAAGCCTCCAATAAATATGGGACTGTGTGAAAAGATCACTTATCACACTTATTCCAAAACTGACCACATAACTGGAAGTAAAGCACTCCTCAGGCAAACGTAAAAGAACAGAAATTGTAACAAACTGTCTCTCAGACCACAGTGCAATCAAACTAGAACTCAAGATTAAGAAACTCACTCTAAACTGCTCAACTACATGAAAACTGAACAACCTGCTCCTGAATGACTACTGGGTACATAACAAAATAAAGGCAGAAATAAAGATGTTCTTTGAAACCAATGAGAACAAAGACATAACATACCAGAATCTCTGGGACACATTCAAAGCAGTGTGTAGAGGGAAATTTATAGCACTAAATGCCCACAAGAGAAAGCAGGAAAGATCTAAAATTGACACCCTAACATCACAATTAAAAGAACTAGAGAAGCAAGAGCAAACGCATTCAAAAGCTAGCAGAAGGCAAGAAATAACTAAGATCAGAGCAGAACTGAAGGAGATAGACACACAAAAAACCCTTCAAAAAATCAATAAATACAGGAGCTGGTTTTCTGAAAAGATCAACAAAATTGACAGACCGTTAGCAAGACTAATAAAGAAGAAAAGAGAGAAGAATCAAATAGATGCAATAAAAAATGATAAAGGGGATAACACCACCAATCCCACAGAAATACAAACTACCATCAGAGAATACTATAAACACCTCTACACAAATAAACTAGAAAATCTAGAAGAAATGGATAAATTCCTAGACACATACACCCTCCCAAGACTAAACCAGGAAGAAGGTGAATCCCTGAATAGACCAATAATAGGCTCTGAAATTGAGGCAATAATTAATAGACTACCAACCAAAAAAAGTCCAGGACCAGACGGATTCACAGCAAAATTCGACCAGGGGTACAAAGAGGAGCTGGTACCATTCCTTCTGAAACTATTCCACTCAACAGAAAAAGATGGAATCCTCTCTAATTCATTTTATGAGGCCAGCATCATCCTGATACCAAAGCCTAGCAGAGGCACAACAAAAAAAGAAAATTTTACACCAATATCCCTGATGAAAATCGATGCAAAAATCCTCAATAAAATACTGGCAAACCGAATCCAGCAGCACATCAAAAAGCTTATCCACAATGATCAAGTTGTTCATCCCTGGGATGCAAGGCTGGTTCAACATATGCAAATCAATAAACATAATCCATCATATAAACAGAACCAAAGACAAAAACCACATGACTATCTCAATAGATGCAGAAAAGGCCTTTGACAAAATTCAACAGCGCTTCATGCTAAAAACTCTCAATAAACTAGGTATTGATTGGATGTATCTCAAAATAATAAGAGCTATTTATGACAAACCCACAGCCAATATCTTACTGAATGGGCAAAAACTGAAGCATTCCCTTTGAAAACTGGCACAAGACAGGGATGTCCTGTCTCACCACTCCTATTCGACATAGTGTTGGAAGTTCTGGTCAGGGCAATCAGGCAGGAGAAAGAAATAAAGGGTATTTAATTAGGAAAAGAGGAAGTCAAATTGTCCCTGTCTGCAGATGACATGATTGTATAGTTAGAAAACCCTATCATCTCAGCCCAAAATCCCCTTAAGATGATAAGCAACTTCAGCAAAGTCTCAGGATACAAAATCAATGTACAAAAATCACAAGCATTCCTCTACACCAGTAACAGACAGAGAGCCAAATCATGAGTGAACTCCCATTCACAACTGCTTGAAAGAGAATAAAATACCTAGGAATATAACTTACAAGGGATGTGAAGGACCTCTTCAAAGAGAACTACAAACCACTGCTCAACGAAATAAAAGAGGACACAAACAAATGGAAGAACATTCCATGCTCATGGATAGGAAGAATCATATCGTAAAAATGGCCATAGTGCCCAAGGTTATTTATAGATTCAATGCTATCCCCATCAAGCTACCAATAACTTTCTTCACAGAACTGGAAAAAACTAAAGTTCATATAGAACCAAAAAAGAGTCCGCATTGCCCAGACAATCCTAAGCCAAAAGAACAAAGCTGGAAGCATCACACTACCTGACTTCAAACTATACTACAAGGCTGCAGTAACCAAAACAGCATGGTACTGGTACCAAACAGAGATATAGACCAATGGAACAGAACAGAGCCCTC